>NC_000002.12:18267331-18418846 GCF_000001405.40 Homo sapiens
TCTGGATTTTTCTTTCAGACTATAAATGTTTGTTATACGCAATGATTTTTCTCTCTGTGTGTGTGTGTGCATGTGTGTGTGTGTGTGTCAGAGTCTCACTCTGTTGCCCAGGCTGGAGTGCAGTGGTACAATCACGACTTATGCAATCTCAATATTCTAGGCTCTAGCTATCCTCCCACCTCAAGCTCCCAAGTAGCTGGGACCACAGACATGCACCACCATGCTTGGCTAATTTTTAAAAATTTTTGTAGAGATAGGTTCCCACTATTTTGCCCAAGTTGGTCTTAAACTCCTGGACTCAAGCGATCATCCTGTCTTGGCCTCCCAAAGTGTTGGGATTACAGGCATGAGTCACTGCACCCAGTGTAATTTGTGTGTTTTAAATACTGTAGTCACTTTCTTACATATTAACAGAGACTCAACAATAATTACTGGCCAGGAGTGGTGGCTCATGCTTCTAATCCAACTTGGTAGGCTGAAGTGGGAGGATTGCTTGGGCTCAGGAGTTCAAGATCAGCCTGGGCAACATAAAGAGGCCTCATGTCTACCAAAAAAAAAAAAGAGAGAGAAAAAATTATTTGGGCATGGTGGTGCATGCCTTTAGTCCTAGCTACTCTGGAGGAGGGAAAGCAGGAAGATCGCTTGAGCTCAGGAGGTGGAGGCTGCAGTGAGCTGTGATTGCACCATTGTACTGCAGCCTGGATGATAGAGCAAGACTCTGCCTAAAAAATAATAATAATGAAAATTGTTGTTATAATTACTAATTCAATGATTAGTTCCCTTACTTTACAAGTGCAATTTTCTTACTACATTTATTTAACTCTGTATTCCTTTGGCCAGAAGGTGAATTAATTTTTTCCCAAGGATGGTGAGTGATTTTTGTGGTACTGATTGGGCCTTAGCGGAAAGAGGCAGTATGATACTCAGAAAATAATGTTGTCACTGTAGTTTGTAATTTACTCTTCGTCTGCCACTTGCCAGCAGAGTAGTCTTGAAAAAGTTATTTAAATTCTTTCAGCACAATTTTTCTTATCTGTAAAATGGGGGATAATAGCTAATTTCTAAACATGTTGCTCAGTAATGTTCATCCTCTTCATCCTGCTCCACAATCAGAAATTCCTATAGACAAACAGTTGTGTTTTTTATTAGTGACCTTAGTCCCTAAGGTCCAGGACAAGCTGGCATACCTAGTAAAGACTGAGTCATCCCACATCAACAAGGCATTGAGGAAACTTCATTGCTGGGATTGTTTTTATTTCTCATGTTTCAGTTTAACCTGTGACTCTCGACTTCTCCAACAGCTCATATGTAACCAAAAACTATAGCATGTGTTACACTAAGAAGCTAAGGGATTAGTCCGGGTTACTCAGTCTGTGGATAGTAGTGGTGCAACCAGAATCACCTTTTCGTGACTGTGCTGAACATTGTCTTGAGAGATTAAGTGACTTTGACCAAATCTTAGGACCTAGACTTAATCAAAACGCTGAAGTCCAAAAATGGCCTCTAAAAAATGGTGTAAGTTACCAAGTGATTAATTTTTGCTTTTAAATATTTGGTCAGTACCAAAATAAATATCTCTGATTTCTTAAGAAGGAAGGAAAATTATTTGATGAAGAGAAGCATGAAAGATAAAATTTGTCACTGACAGATCATAGAGAATTCAGCCTTGGCCGGGCAAGGAGGTTCACGCATAAAATCCTAACACATTGGCAGGCCAAGGCAGGCAGATCCCTTGAACTCAGGAGTTTGAGACCAGGCTGGGCAACATAGTGAGACCCCCACCTCAATAAAAATAAATAAATAAATAAATAAATAAGAGAATTCAGCCTTGATGAAATCATTAGCCTTTTCTTTTATTTTCCACTTCTGAACATGATATAACTGATCTAACTGTGGAATGTAAAAAAATGAGTAGTCAAAAAGCGATACTCAAGCTTTTTAATTCTGATTTTAGACACCAGTCTTCCCATTAGTATTCAGAAAGCTGTCGACAGTCTCATAGAGAGGAAACTCAATGTTAGTTAAGTCTAAAGGAGAAAGCAGTAAATAATCTCTGTATTTAAATATTGTCACATTAACTCATTTTTGATTGTGAGAACCACTTTTTGTCTTCTCAGACAATACAACCTTCTGGAAATGCACCTCCTGTGACACTCACAGTGGCTGGAGTCCTCCTGTGGGGAACGTCTGGGGGCTCCATTTCTGGGCCATTTCTCAGCTCACTGCCAAAGTGTCCATCTGGATATCTATTACTGCACATTACAACCTGCCTTGCCATCGTCAGTTAGGGATATTTTTTGGCTCTGAGAGATCTGTGGAGAAAAAAAATGCCTATATTTCTTTTGATTTTGCTATAAAAATATAAATGCTCTGGTAGGCATTTTCTCCTGATGTATCAAAAGGCACTTCCATCCATCGATTTTCAGAATGCCCTTATTGCTACTTTTCTTCATGGTCTGGAGAGATTGAGTGACTTGACCAGTGTTTCACAGTGATTTAGAGGAAGAGTTAAGATTGAATCCTGAGTTCCCTTATTTTTTCCTCTAGTGTACTAAATTACTACTTTATGCAACCTTTAGGTTCAAATGCCTCCTTTTAGCTCCTAGCTCACCACTTCATTTCTTAAGAATGTCAGAAGTTACACTTTTCTTCTGGAAAAGTATTCATAAAAGACATGAAAAATTCTAATTATTACCCTTGGAATACTTCACATTTGTGTGAATATTTTAAACTTTGTTTTCAAAGCTGTTAAATGCTCTCAGGGTATAAAGTAATTAAATAATTATTGAATTTCTTTTTTGCCTGCTTGGATACTAACAGTAATCTTTTTAATTTCAAAGTATGACAAATTTACTTGCACCTTGGTAGGTTTCTACAGTGCCATCATTCCACTGAGATGATCTGCTGTGTGACTTTTTCATATTGTCCCCTTGTGGGCATGCTGACCCTGAGGTGTCTCAAAGGCTGATGTTGCTGATCCTGGTGTACTATGGTGTGCCTTCTTACATATGCACTACCTTATTTGAGGCAAGAGAGGAATGAAAATCTTGAAAGTTGTATCAGTAGGCTCTGAAATAATTATTATAGGGCAATTGAGAAACATGTCATATCAGTTGTGTTTGAGTATTGTCTTAGGGTTATTTTCCCCATTAAAAAAATAGAACCAATTAGATACACACACACACACACACACACACACACACACACACACACACGAGGCGTCTTCAAAGAGTTCATGGAAAATGCATGTTATATATAAAAAAAACTGCATGGATGTCAACATTTTTTGGACTGCAATAAATTATACTAACATGTTATGTCTAAATAGGATCTAGTTTAAGGCACTAAGAAGGTTAAAGTATCAGTTTGAAAAGAGTCCCTATTAGAGCAAAATGATTTCTGCTAAAATTGAAGCAAGAACAAACATCAGATTTATGGTGAAGAGGGCTGGAAGAATGGTGAAATTACTGATGCTTTACAAAAAGTTAAAGGGAACCATCCCTTCCCCCCACCAAAATCAGCAGTTTCCAAATGGATAACTCATTTTCAGAAGGGATGAGATGATGTTGAAGATGTACACTATCCACATCAATTTGAGATGAATTAATCTTATTAATGTCCTAATTGAGGAGGACTAATGATTAACAGCAGAAACAGTAGTCAGCATTATAACATCTCAATTGATTCAGCTTATACAATTCTGAATGAAAAATTAAAGTTGAGCAAACTTTCCACTTGATGAATGCCAAAACAATGCACCCAGATCAGTGGCAGACAAGAGCACAGCTTTCAATGGAAACTTCAGTCAAGTGGGACTGTTATGGGATCTTTGGGGTGTTGCTTTTCTGGCCAGAAACTTCTGTGGCTGGTGGCACCTTTGCCCAAGGTCTTGTCCTGTGTCCAGGAATGAGGTATGTAGACAAGTGGGAGGTGAACAAGATGAAGAGAAGCTTTGTTGAGTGTTACAACAGCTCAGAGGAGAAACGCAGTGGGTAGCTCCTCTCTAGTCATCTCATCCAGTGTTGGGCTCTCAGCAGAAAGGAGGCCCTTGAGAGGATAGCTCCTCTCTGCAACTGGTCCTCCCGATGTCTCTCCAGCCCTCCTCCACCCTGCTCCCGCTGAGCCCAGGGCTTTTATGGACCACGGAGGTGGGGTAGAAGTGCATGCTGATTGGTCCATGGGCAGCTGCCCCGGACCTGCTGATTGGTTCATTGGTCACCTGCTCCAGGGGCCTGAAGGTGGGGCTTCGCTGGGGACCCACCCCCTTTTGCCCAGGAGCCTGTTTGCCTCCTGCAGTCATCCATGGCATTCAGGCTGCTGGCACCAAGGGACAACTTCAGGCCAGCACTCAGCTACCCTCAGCCCCCCCCATCAGCTTCCCCTCCAGTGCTCGTTGGTGCCCAAAGTTTGGAGGGGGCTGAGGCGGCAAGGGGCCGGCATGTCAGCACTGCCCCAAGTGTGTCCCCACCCAGCCAAACTGTCATATCACCTGGGGTTGGCCGGAACTGCACTCCGAAATTGGAGTGAGTGCCAGGAGTTGGGAGAGGCCAGGCAGTGGGAGCAGGCACCTCTGAGCCTGCAAGGGCAGGGGCGCCTTCCCAGGTCCCCCAAGAGTGCGGGACTGCCTGGGTCTGCAGTTCCAGTTTGGGCGACTTCATCTGCCAGGGGTGTGGGCGGGGCTCCTGCCTGCTCCGTGTAGCAAGAGGCCGGGGTCTGGTCTGCAGCCACTGACTTGGGGGCTTGGGCGGCTGCAGTTTCACCTGGGGAGCTCCCACCCTGCCAGCTTGGAAAAGGCAGGGCTCCTGCTTGTCCCTGGCTCCCGGGGGCTCAAGGGAGCACAGCACCCGGCCACGCCCCCTCACAGCCTGGGGCTGGGGCTCCAGGTCCTTGCATCCAGGGCAGGGGCGACGTTGCGGTGAGCTTCCCCTGTGGCCCTGGTGTTCAGGGGTGGCCTGGAGCTCCCCCTTACCTGGTATGTGACCTAGCCCAGTCCCATTGTGGCGGCCCTCTGGGTGGCTGGCTAGGGGATGGGGGTGGTGCTCTCTGCCTCCTCCATGTGCCCTCCCTGCAGTGGCCGGTGTGATGGCAGTGGCTGAACCAAACAACCCGCGGCTGCCATTGGGATAAAGATTCTAAAGGTTTTCTTTGAAAAACTGTAACAAGAAATGAAACATGGCTTTACCAGTACAATCCTGAAGATAAAGCATAATCAAAACAATAACCACCAAGGGGTGGAAGTGGTCCAGTCAAAGCAAAAATGGACCAGTCGTGAGCAAATGCTATGACAACAGTTTTTTTGGGGGATGCACAAGGCATTTTTGCTTGTTGACTTTATGGAGGGCCAAAGAACAAGAACACTGACTTATTATGATAGTGCTTTGACAAAGTTAGCCAAAGTTTTAACAGAAAAATGCACCAAAAAGCTTCACCAGAGTGGCAATGCTCCTGCTCATTTTTCTCATTAAATAAAGTCATTTTTGCAAGAGTTTCAACAGGAAATTATTAGACATCCACCTTACAGTTCTGATATGGCTCCTTCTGACTTCCTTTTGTTTCCTAATCTTAAGAAATCTGTAAAGAGAACCCATTTTTCTTGACTTAATAACGTGAAAAAGACGTCATTTACGTGATTAAAATCCCAGGACCCTAAGTTCTTTAGGTATGGACTAAATGTCTGGTCATTGTTTATGAAAATATCTTGACCTTGATGAAGTTTATGTTGAGAAATAAAGTTCATATACTATTTTTACCTTTTAACCTCATTTTTCCACAAACTTTTTGAAGCCCCTTCATATCTAGATATATAAGAAGAGATTGTTTTATGGGAATTGACTCAGGTAATTATGAAGGCCAAGAAGTCCCAGGATATGCTGTCTGCAAGCTGGAGAACTGGGAAAGCCAGTGATGTAATTGGTTGGGTGTGGCTGGAGGGAGATGCTAGTATAAGTCCTGGAATCCCAAGGCTGGAGAACTTGGAATTCTGACACCCTAGGGCAGGAGAAGATAGGTGACCAAGCTCCAGAAGAGAGGAGAGTCAATTTTCCCTTCCTCTGAATTTGCATTCTGTCTCAGCCCTCATGAATTGGATGATGCCTGCCCACACTGGTGATGGCAGATCTTGTTTACTCAGTCTAGTGATTCAATTGCTAATCTTTTCTGGAAACACTCTCACAGACATACTCAGATATAACATTTTATTAGGAATCCAGGTTTCTCTTAACCCAGTCAAGTTGGCAAAATTAACCATCACAAATATCAAGTCAACCAATCAATTGTTTTTGAGTGGAGTGCTTTAATGTCTTATTTGAACAGCCGGAGCATTCAATCTTTATTTATTAGAGCAACTACCAATTGATGCAGCAGAGTATAAGTTGTTCAAGTTTTAGTCTGAGTCCTTATTTGAAATAACAATTTTAGATACTCAGGCATACTCAGCTTGGTTCCAGAGAGACAATAGAAGGTAGACGTTAGAGCAAAGACTGGATTAGATTCGTGTGTGTTTGTTTTTAACCTGCCTTTATAATCTCCCCACTAAAGGCCCCTTCTCCTTTTAAGGGCCACTTCATATTTGCAGCTTTTATTTTTTTATTCTCTCTGCCAATTATTGTTTTTTAATTGGTGTATTTAGATTATGTACATTTAAATTTACTAGGGCTTAAATAAGCCGTTTTATTATTTGTTTTCTTTGTTGGTTTCTGTTTTATTTATCATTTATTCCTGTGAGATACTTGAATATTTTAAGGAATTTATTTTGATTTATTTAACATATCTTTTAGTACATTGCTTGGTATAATTTTGTAATGGTTGCTCTTGGTATTACTATATATACAGATATACATATATTTCTCTGTATGTCTTATAGTCGATTGATATCAACATTTTATCACTTTGAGTGTAGCATGAAAGTCTCACTTCCATTTGGGTCACTTTACCATCCTCACTACTGAAATACCATTGTCTTGAGTTTCAGATGGTGTTATGGACTGAATGCTTGTGTTTCCCTCCAAATTCGTATGTTGAAGCCCTAACACCCAGTATGGCTATACAGTTGACCCTTGAAGAACATGAGTTTGAACCACCTGGGTCCATTTACATGCAGATTTTTTTCAATAAATATTTTTAAAGGTTTTTGGGAGATTTTCAAAAATTTGAAAAAAAAGCAGATAAATCCCATAGCCTAAAACTATTAAAAATTTAAGAAAAAAATGTGTCATGAATGTATAAAGTCTATATAGATAGTAGTATATTTTATTATTTATTACCATAAAGTACCCCAAGACAGCAAGACCAACTCCTCCTCTTTCTCTTCTTTCTCAGCCTACTCAATGTGAAGATGACAAAAATGAATACTTTTATAATTCACTTCCACTTAATAAACAGTAAATATATTTGCACTTTCTTATATTTTTCTTAGTAACATTTTGTTTTCTCTAGCTTACTTTACTGTAACACATATAGTATATAATGTATATAACATACAAAATACAAACTAATCACTCTTTATGTTACTGGTAAGGATTTGGGCCAGTAGTAGGTTCTTAGGAGTTAACTTTTTGGGGAGCCAAAAGTTATACATGGATTTTCAACTGCACCAGAGTTCTGGAAGCCCAGATATTATTCAAAGGTCACCTCTATTTGGAGATAGTGTCTATAATTAAGTTTATAATTGAGGTCATCAGGGCAGGGCCTCAATCTAAAAGGCTTAATGTCTTTACAAAGAAAGACACCAATGAGTGCTTCCTCTTCCTCTGCAAGTACACACCTTTGAAAGGCAAAATGAGGACAGAGGGAGAAGTTGGCCATTGGCAAGCCAGGAAGAGAATCCTCACCAAAAAACTGAACCTTGCCAGAAACTTAATCTTGAATTTTCCAGTCATCAGAACTGTGAGAAAATAAATTCCAGTTGTTTAAGTCATCTAGTCTATGGTATTTTTTATGGCAGCCTGAGCTGATGAGTACAGATTCATTATGATTTTTGTTTAATTCCTCAAATAAGATTGAGAAAACTCATCAAGAGAATAGTCTATTGTGACTAGCAATGTATTAGTCCATTTTCACACTGCTATAAAGAACTTCCTGAGACTGAGTAATTTATGAAGAAGAGATGTTTAATTGACTCACAGTTTTACATGTCTGGGGGAGCCTCAGGAAACTTACAATCATGACATAAGGCTAAGGGGAAGCAAGGCACATCTCACATGGTGGCAGGAGAGAGAGAGAGCAAGGGGGGAAATGCCACACTTTAAAACCATCAGATCTCATGAGAACTCACTTATTATCATGAGAATGGCAAGGGAGATATCTGCCTCCATAATCCAATCACCTCCTACCAGGCCCTTCCTCTGACACGCAGGGATTACAATTTGAGATGAGATTTGGGTGGGGACACAGAGCCAAACCATATCAAGCAATATTTCGGTTATTTTCATTACTATTTTTTCTCATTTCTCATATTTGACTATTTTGACACTCTAAGATTTCTCTTTTTTATAATTTTAAAGAATTTTCTTTAGTCTTTCTGTAAGGGTACGTCTGTTAAGTGACAAATTATTTTACCTTTTCTTCATATGAGAAAGCATTTATTCTCCCTTCATTCTTGAAAAATAGTTTTGCCAGTTATAGAATTTACAGTTGGCAGTTCTTTTCTTTCAGTACTTGAAAAACATTGTGCCATTTCCTTCTGTCCTTCATTGTTTCAGATGAAAAATCTACTGTCATCCTGATTTGTATTTCTCTATAGATAATGCTTTACTTCCGTCTGGCTGCTTTCAAGCTAATGTCTTTGATTTCAGTGTTCAGAAATTTAACTACAATGTGTCTTAGCATGGATTTTTTTAAGGCTTATCTTACTTAAGTTTCTCTCAGCTTATTAAATTCTTAGATATATATCTTTCTTCAAATTTGGGAAGTTTTTAGCCTTTATTCCTTCCAATATAGGACCTCTAATAATAGGATATTGGATTTTTA
The DNA here is from genome assembly GCF_000001405.40 of Homo sapiens. Lineage (NCBI taxonomy): Eukaryota > Metazoa > Chordata > Mammalia > Primates > Hominidae > Homo > Homo sapiens. The sequence goes on from NC_000002.12 coordinate 18,276,299, forward strand.
GTTATCGCATGGATTAAACAGTTCTGCATTAAAATTCTGTTTAAGCCATTTAGTAGCTAGATTGTCTGAGTGAAATTAATCTCCTTTAGCTATATTTTATTTTATTTTTTTCAATGAAATGGAATATGATGCCAGCCTATATTGGACTTTTGTTGTTTTGATTAGCAACTCTCCCATCTCTGATCCTATATGCATAGGCACAAATCATTTTCTTTGAAAATGCCAATAATGTTACTATTTATTCATCTCTGACTCTTGATTAATTTGAATTTTCTGTAGGATAATTGCTGTTAATAGAGAAAAAAAATCTCGATCCCTAGTGTAAACATGGGTCTTTCATGGTTTTTATTAAACTAAGGCTAAAGCCACCAACAGTGACTGTGACAAGCAGGCCTGATGACAGTAATGCTAATTAATCTCCATATGCCTGAGCATCTGGTTTTAGGAAACTGAACAGAAAACACTCAGCACTAGCTCAGCATCCTGGGTGTTCATTGATTGATGAATATTGAATATGCGCGTTAGTCATCAGAATGTCCAAATGGAAGAGCACATTGAAGCCAGTGATCTGGCAGTGTTGACAAACCTATTCTTTGACCCTTCATTCACCCCGTTCTTCAGACCTCAATTGAGACCCTGTTGATGGACTGCTGCAGGGTCTGACTTCAGCAGAGAAGAGAGAGAGAAGAAACTTCTCCCTTGTCTCTGCCTGAAGGATAGCAGGTAACATGGTTTGCTTGTTCCTTGCAGTCACTCATATTGTGGCTCTGGCTGACCCCTTTTACTATTTTCCCTGTCTGAGTGTTTCTTCCCCTGCGCTAACCTATTCCAAGTACTCAGTGCTCTGTTCTCTACATCACAGCCCAGGAGAAGATTTTTCTCTTATTGAGTTAATATTATAATCTCTCTCCCAAGAGGATTTTCAACCTTGAATATTGGATCTCACTGGGAATAAACAGATCTGTGCCCTGGGGCCCTGAGATACTTGATGCTCTCAATTTCTGCCCTGAATTCCACCCCCATTCCCTGACAATATATGCCCAGGACTTATAAACATTTAATTACTTTTCCTCCTTTGGTTATCCTATAAATAATGAAATTACACAAGATCTTTCAAAATACTTAAGTGACATTTTGTTATTACACACTTAGGGTGAATACATTTACATCAATTAGATAATTATCAGGATAATTGGCCCCCAATCTAGCAACATTTTATTTTTTATTTTTAAAGGCTAATGTTTACAGGGAGAAGGTATTTTTTTCAATCAAAATGGGTTCTTCTGGGACAGCTTATGACGCTAGATTACAGACTGAAAATGTACTTACATCCTTCTGCAATGAGGACAGAAAAACTGAGATCTACAGAATTAAACAATAATTTTATTACACAAAATCTGTGCTTGAGTTATTGACACTCGATTTCCCTGATTACTCAGTTAATGAAGTCAGTGAATGCACTGTGCTTTGCAGTAGCATCAGCAGCAACTAAATTAGCATTTTAGGGAGATGTTTACGTGTATTGTTGATTTCAGGAAAAAGAGTTGACTGATATGGGTAGCTGCTTAGGGGGAATAGTTTGCACCCAAATAGGAATGAAACGTAAGACTCAGCAGCTGTTATACCATCTTCTTAGTACCTGGAATGTGGTGTGATGTTGTCACCTGCTTTTCTACCAGGGAAGTCTAAACTATAGTCACAGCATTCTATAGCAACATGGCAGCATTTATTCTCAGGAAGGTGTTTAGTCACTGGTCTCTCATATGTCCTACTAATCAGTTAAAAATATACAATAAAATGGCCAATAAAAATAACTTTCTTATTATGGAATAATTAAAAAAATTGAAATCACTTTGTATGCATTTCACAATTATTCCAGCTAATTTTGATATTGGGGAAAGCAAAAAACAAGGATAACAAATAGGGTCTCTTATTTTTAGAGGGCAAATGTCCCAGCTGCAGTCTTTCTGGAAGACATCTACTCTCTGCCTTTTTCTACATTTTAATGTGGCTGAACTACAATAGGAAGCAGACAGAAGCAAATTCCAATTATGAGTGTCCCCACATAGCTTGTGTGCCTTTGGGTAAATTATCTCGGGTAAGTTATTGAAGCACAATGTATCTTGGTTTCTCTTTCTTTAGAATGGGGATACATATACCTGCTTCATAAAGTCAAATCAAAAACATATGCAATCATTTGGTTGTGTTTTCAACATTCTAAAGTACCATATTTTATATGACAGTCTCAGAATTTATTAATTTACAAGAGGATGGAGAAGGCAGAAAAAGGACTTTATATAGATAAACTTTATAGATTGACTATAAAGATACTTCTGATTTAAAAAACATGAAAATGTGAAAGGAAAATCTTATGCCTTAGGTTTGAGAAAATACCATAGTGGCTGCTAGAGAAATAACTACTTTCCTACTCCTTGAATATTCAGAGAGCAGACAGAACAGTCCAACAAATATTCAAGGAGACTGGAATTTCTTGATATTTATTTAGAAGATACTTTATTTGTAGTATGAGTATATAAAATCCAACATACACAGATCAAAGAATCCTAACCTGAGATGTGTGAGCATATCACATGGCTTTTATTTCTTATGCTAAGCTTACAAATAAAACGAGACAGCCCCCAGGTTCTGTTTTGTAACCCAGACTCAATCAGTTTTGTTTTTTTGGGGAAATAGAGGATGCTGCAAAAATTATCTTTATTTGACTATAAAAAGAACATTTCTAGCACAATAAAAAATGGTAAACCCAGAATAATTGGTTATGTATAATCATTGTGAAGCCTATTTCTATTTTTATCAAAGTGAGGCGTGAGGTTTTGGATGTGTTTATGTTGTTTTTGGTTTTGGCAGGAGAAGAGGAAGTTGGGAGAGTTTTGAGAGAATAGTGTTGCTCTATAATTGTAAAATTATTTTTTTTTTCATAATATAGCAATGCTAATTTACTTCGCTCACACCCACTGATTACAGCCAAAGAGCTCAGCCTGGTCAGTGCTGTGGAGAGTAGATTTAGAAACATGGGAGATGGGTAGAAATTTGGGCCTTTTGGAGATAGAGAGATGGGAAAATTATATATTTATATGAATAAATACTTTATATATTATATATAATAAATACTAATATATTTATATATAAGTTATACAGAAACATACTGCTAGAAATATAGATACAATGGTAGATAGATATCAGACAATACAAAAGCCTTCTTTCTTGGGAAGCTGTATTAGTCTATTCTCACACTGCTATTAAAGACATATCTGAGACTGGGTAATTTTCAAAGGAAAGAAGTTTAATTGACTTACAGTTCCACATGGCTGGGGAGGCCTCATAATCATGGCAGAAGGCAAAGGAAGAACAAAGTCACATCTTACATGGCAGCAGGCAAGAGGGCATGTGCAGGGGAGCTCCCCTTTATAAAACCATCATATCTCCTGAGACTTATTCACTATCCAAGAACAGCACAGGAAAGACTCACCCCCATGATTCAATTACCTCCCACTTGTCCCACCTGTGACATGTGGGGATTATGGGAGTTACAATTCAAGATGAGATTTGGGTAGGGACACAGCCAAACCCTATCGGAAGCCTAAAAACTTGACCCTGTAGGGGGTTACTTTTAACCCCACCCTCCAGAACTTATAGTATCTCTAAGATACTTTGACCTCTAGCCTGAGACTTGTTTCATTAATCCAAGCCACGCTGAGCATCTTGCCTGGTCTAGGCCCACCCCTTAACAAAGCTGTCACTGCTTTTGGACTCCTCTTCTGTAATCAAGCTCTTATGTCTTCAATTTCCGAGTTCCTGGAAGGCTAAAGTACAACTTTTTTTTTGAGATGGAGTCTCGCTCTATCGCCCAGGCTTGAGTGCAATGGCGCTACCTTAGCTCACTGCAAGCTCCGCCTCCCGGGTTCACACCATTCTTCTGCCTCAGCCTCTCAAGTAGCTGGGACTACAGCTATGCTACGATGTCCAGCTAATTTTTTGTATTTTTAGTAGAGACAGGGTTTCACCCTGATAGCCAGGATGGTCTTGATCTCCTAACCTCGTGATCCGCCTGCCTTGGCCTCCCAAAGTGCTGGGATTACAGGTGTAAGCCACTGCACCCAGCCAAAGTACAACTTTTTAATACAAGATTTTAGTTCTCTTTCTCATTAACAAATAAGTGCAAATAGTAAAAACCTATTATTGAACACCTGCTATGTTCTAGGCAAGCAGTTTAGTTAATTACCTAATGCAGTTTTTGCCCCAGTTTTAGGAGAAAGTTATTATTGTCTTTCAATTAAGCACACTAAGATTAATTGAATAATGTAATAGCAATAGTGTTGTATCATGGACATTAGTTTTTTGTTGGTGAGGGCTGAGGGAGCTGGTCAGGGGAGATCACTTCAGATGATTTAGTTCACTGATTCATTTTTACAGAGCAAGAAAATAAGTCTCAGAAACAGCAAGTGATTTGACCACGGTCTTGCTGCAATGTGTGTTGGAGCTGGGAACAGAACTCAGGTCTTCTGACTACCAGTCCGTGGTCCTTTGTGTGAAATCAGCCTCCTTCGGGAAATAGAATGACAAGTTGGTTGTAGAGTGGCCAGCTGTAACTGCTAATATTCCAATAATGTTATTGAGACTCCCTGCAAGCTGGACCAAAAAAGGGAGAAAGGCTTTGGGGAGCTGTGCTTATCCTTCCTGGATTTAGAGAGCCCGTCTTTGTCTTGGCACTTGGGCCCCTTCTCTCCTTTCAGGCCCCTCTGTTAGACAGAGGCCTGCTTACATCTCCCAGAAATAAGCAATGATTAGCTCAGCTACAGGATAAGAAATAGGGCATTTGTGAAAGCACATTAAATAAAGGGCATACAGAGCAAAGTTAAAAATTAGGAAAATACTTTCCTCTTCAGTGCCAGTCTCACCTCTTACCTCCCACGCCCTAGCATCAGCTTAGCCCGCATTAATTTTAAGACCCCAAATAAGAAGGTGCAAGTGCTAGATTCCGGGCATAATGTCCTCAAACACCCTCACTCCCACCCATTCCCAAGGCACTCAGGGCTCTCTTCTATGCTGCCTTCTTGATAGGGTCTACAGGGTCTGCTCTCTGTCCCTGTGCTCAGTCTGGTGTCTGCACTTACTCCCTTCTACAAAACCTTCTCGTTCATGGAGCATGCATGAAAAACCAAGTTTGTTTTTTTCTTTCTTTTCAGCTCTTTAGTCTTCCAAGATTAGAGGTGGGTTTATAAGGGACAGGGTGAGAGCTGTGAAGGTAGTAAGGTAGAGAAGTCAGGTGGGAGTTGTCATATAAGTGGAGGGAAACAAAACACTTTAATCTTATTTCCTCTGTGACTCCGTGGCCTAACCTGGGTGCATTCATTAGCACACTTCTAATTCACTGATACTCTCTTTGTGTTCAGTCTAGAGTTCATCCCATTTACTGAGTTGTCTTTACATACATATTTTTATTTCCCTAATTTATCTGTATGTTCTTGTTTTATTTCTGCCTTTCATTCTTTCATACTTCTTACTCTGTTTCAGTGGACATTCTAAACCTATTTATTTTATAGTATTACTTAGATTGTTCCACAAAATGTACTATCTCTGGAGTAATCAATGTTCCAATTGTTGATATTTGCCTATCTTTTATACATTTAAATTTTTTTACATTGTTTTAGAATTTTGATTTGTGAGCTAATTTTGGTAGGAATATATATATATTCTCCTTTTTTTAGTGCTCAATTCTCACTTCCTAGCAATTTTACATTTGCTTCTACTGAGTCTTTAGTCCTGTAGTCCAGTCTGAGCTGCCATTTTAGTGACATAGAGGATATCACAGATGGTCATGTGTAAGAGGCTTGGTTCACTTCCTGATCACCAGGTAGCTTGCATAAAGGTATATCCTTGCCTGTAGTTGGCAGCAGTTTTCTCAGCCTCCTTCTGTGAGTGGGGAAACCTCAATGGAATCTCTGATCTCAAGCAGTAGGGCTGGCTCATGTTCCCCTTCTGAGTGGAGCACCTGAGGGCATTCATGTTATAGATTTTTTTTAACCCATCCCAGACTCTGTGGCCTGGCCTAGCTCTCAGGTTATGTAAAGCACAAAATTAACTTTTTACATAAAATAGAGATAATATCTACCTTCAGAATCACAATGAGTCAATGAAACATGTAAAGCAGCACATACAGAGTGGGACAAGTAGCAAGCCCTCTACAAAAGCTTGCCGTCATTGGGAGAAATTATCCAGAGGACTCCTCACTCCTTATTCAAAAGAGCAAGTGCATGGGAGATAAGATTAGCTGGCTTTTTTTGGTGACAAGACGTCACAACACATTTACCCACACGTAAATGGAGAAACCAACAGAAGTGGACTTCAGCGTATAAAGTAAGAGAAAAAAATCAACTTTCTGTGTCACTCAAGATTCTTAGACCTCAGATTGGTAAAAAAGAAAAAGCAAAAAAAGAAAGAAGATGTGCTCATTAAGTATATGGTACAAACCAAGAGAAGATCTCTTTGCTAGAGTGATATACTGGTAGCCCAAGACCACGGTACGTGCAACATTTTGACAGCCCTGACCAGTGTCTTCTGGTGGCCACTTTAGATACTGAAATGTAGCACAGAGATAATGTGAATGTAGTTTTATGGGCACAGGCAAATCACAGAAACAAAGTGATGTATAGCTAACACAGGAAATGAATTATGTGGCCAACACACAGAAAGTGTTAGATTTTGTTCATGCAAGGGACAAATCTTAATTTTTCCAAAATTGTATTTTGATTCCTGACTTTCCTATTACTCCAACTAAAATACTTCCTATTCAGTTCTATCCCAGCACTTTGGGAGGCTGAGGCAGGTGGATCACGAGGTAAGGAGTTAGAGACCATCCTGGCTAACACGGTGAAACCCCATCTCTACTAAAAATACAAAAAAAAATTAGCTGGGCGTGGTGGCAGGCGCCTGTAGTCCCAGCTACTCGGGAGGCTGAGGCAGGAGAATGGTGTGAACTCGGGAGGCGGAGCTTGCAGTGAGCCGAGATCACGCCACTGCACTCCAGCCTGGGCAGCTGAGCAAGACTCCCTCTCGAAAAAAAAAAATACTTTCTATTCAATTCTAACACCAAACTTTGCTATGGCTATGTTCCTGGCCTGGAGCGTATTTTACTTTCTATTCCTCACTATAAAACACTTTCTATTCTTAAAGGCCAGCTAAAGAGAATTTCTTTTGGGAACTCTTTCTCATTAATACCATCCATAAAGAACTGTCCTCCTCTGAGCTCCTGGATGCAGGAGTCTGTTGGTGTTCTCCAGCTTGTAGAGTCTGATAATCTTGATATTAATGAAGTTTATGCTTCAAGTCCCCTCACCTGCAGAGGTCCCTCTCCTGGTTCCAGGAGGGGTGCTAGCAATGAATTAATGTAGGTCTATTTTTGTAAAACGTATAAATATAAGAAACGTTGGCCAGGCACGGTGGCTCACACCTGTAATCCCAGCATTTTGGGATGCCAAGGTGGGCAGATCACCTGAGGTCAGGCGTTCGAGACCAGCCTGGCCAACATGGTGAAACCCCGTCTCTACTAAAAATACAATTAGTCTGGCATGGTGGCAGGTGCCTGTAACCCCAGTTACTCAGGAGGGTGAGACATGAGAATCGCTTGAACCTGGGAGGCAGAGGTTTCAATGAGTCGAGATTGCGCCACTGCACTCCATCCAGGGTGGCAGAGTGAGACTCTATCTCAAAAAAAAAAAAAAAAAGAAAAGAAAAAAAGAAAAAGAAATCCTAGTGCCTCTATTATTTTCTGGCTACATGTGTTTTTATCACATCTTTGTGTAGAGTTTGTAAAATAATTTTACATGAGGAGAATAGCATATAATCCTCATTTTGTATGACTGAACAACATTTTTTTATTAGTTGATAACTGAATTGTATAAACCCAACTTCATATATACATGTATTTGCTGTTTGTAGGAATGCAATCAGGTAAAGCCATGAATCCTTTTCACTCTGACATCTCCTCTATCCTGGGTGGCATTGGAAGTGTTGGCTGAACGTCACCGGGTTTTGGCTGACGAAAAGTTGGGGATATGTTTAGTTTGGATTTAGTGGGACATGTTTACATGGCTTACAGTATATTGGTGGTCATCCAGTGTAGCAACAGTTTCTAGAAACTCTCCCCTAATCAGTATGCTGAGTTACTTAGTTTCCTGGCACACTAGGCAGAGCCAGGCTTGCATTGTGACATGAGCTTGTCTGGAGGTGCCCGACATTGGTAGACAATAAAGAAAATTGCAAATGATGAAACCAGAAGTGAGTCAGTGGAAAATTTTTCCTTTAGCCAGATGTATGAAATTTCAAGTAAAGTTATCAGTTTACTTTGATGCCTTAGTCAAATGGGAATTCTCTTCTGTCAAGAATGTTCCCAATAATGTAACATATACAATTATAAATGGAAGATAAGGGATGTGAAGGACCTCTTCAAGGAGAACTACAAACCACTGCTCAAGGAAATAAGAGAGGACACAAACAAATGGAAAAACATTCCATGCTCATGGATAGGAAGAATCAATATCATGAAAATGGCCATACTGCCCAAAGTAATTTATAGATTCAGTGCTATCCCAATCAAGCTACCATTGACTTTCTTCACAGAATTGGAAAAGACTACTTTAAATTTCATATGAAACCAAAAAAAGAGCCCACATAGCCAAAACAATCCTAAGCAAAAAGAACAAAGCTGGAGGCATCACACTACCTGATTTCAGACTATACTACAAGGCTACAGTAACAAAAACAGCACGGTACTGGTACCAAAATAGATACATAGACCAATGGAACAGAACAGAGGCCTCAGAAATAACGCCATACATCTACAACCATCTGATCTTTGACAAACCTGACAAAAACAAGCAATGGGGAAAGGATTCCCTATTTAATAAATGGTGTTGGGAAAACTGGCTGGCCATATGCAGAAAGCTGAAACTGGATCCCTTCCTTACACCTTATACAAAAATTAACTCAACATGGATTAAAGACTTAAGACCTAAAACCATAAAATCCTTAGAGGAAAACTTGGGCAATACCATTCAGGACATAGGCATGGGCAAAGACTTCATGACTAAAACACCAAAAGCAGTGGCAACAAAAGCCAAAATAGACCATTGGGATCTGATTAAACTAAAGAGCTTCTGCACAGCAAAAGAAACTATCATCAGAGTGAACAGGCAACCTACAGAATGTGAGAATATTTTTGCAATCTATCCATCTGACAAAGGGCTAATATCCAGAATCTACAAAAAACTTAAATAGATTTACAAGAAAAAAACAACCCCATCAAAAAGTGGGCAAAGGATATGAACAGACAATTCTCAAAAGAAGATATTTATGCAGCCAACAAACATATGAAAGAAGGCTCATCATCACTGGTCATTGGAGAAATGCAAATCAAAACCACAATGAGATACCATCTCATGCCAATGAGAATGGCGATCATTAAAAAGTCAGAAAACAACAGATGCTGGAGAGGATGTGGAGAAATAGGAACTGTTTTACACTGTTTGTGGGAGTGTTACTTAGTTCAACCATTGTGGAAGACAGTGTGACGATTCCTCAAGGATCTAGAACCAGAAATACCATTTGACCCAACAATCCCATTACTGGATATATACCCAAAGGATTATAAATCATGCTACTATAAAGACACATGCACAGATATGTTTATTGTGGCACTGTTCACAATAGCAAAGACTTGGAACCAATCCAAGTGCCCATCAATGATAGACTGGATTAAGAAAATGTGGCACATATTCACCATGGAATACTATGCAGCCATAAAAAAGGATGCATTCATGCCCTTTGCAGGGACATGAATGAAGCTGGAAACCGTCATTCTCAGCAAACTAACACAAGGACAGAAAACCAAACACTGTATGTTCTCACTCATAAATGAGTTGAACAATGAGAACACATGGACACAGACGGGAACATCACACACTGGGGCCTGTTGTGAGGTGGGGTCTAGGGGAGGGATAGCATTAGGAGAAATACTTAATGTAGATGACGGGTTGATGGGTGCAGCAAACCACCATGGCATGTGTATACCTATGTAACAAACCTGCACATTCTGCACATGTACCCCAGAACTTAAAGTATAATTTAAAAAATAATAAAAAAAGGAAGATAAATTGCTTTTTTTGATAGGAATTGTGTAAATTTATCAGAATATACTAGAATTTCTGTGTTTGTATGGCACAAACCTGTTGCCGTCCTACAAACAGCAAATACATGTATATATGAAGTTGTGTTTATACAATTCAGTTAACTAATTAAACAATTTTTGTTTAATCATACAAAATGAAAGAATTATATTCTATTCTCTTCATGTAAAATTATTTTACAAACTCTGCACAAAGCGGTGATAAAAACACATGTAGCCAGAAAATGCAAGGAAAAAAATCATAGAGGCACTAGGCAGTTATTTAATAAAACTAGTATGTTGACATTTCTGAATGGTATGATATTTATAGTATTTGTCAGTTCTTTTAAAATTCATAATTTGTTTTTCTTATCTCAATAAATATTCATTCTTATATTTAGTTTTTTACTCTTAATTTTTAAAAGAATCCTCAAAATAGAATATGCTGCAGTCTCACATCACCTGGATTGGCCTCTGCCTGTCTAAGGTTTCAACCCCCCTTGTGGAGTGAGTTCCTGGATAACAGGGGTGATTCTTTGTGCTGTTTATGAATCTGCTGCTTCCATCCAGTGCTGTACATAGCTCAGGTGTTCTTCCACTACTTGAGTAGTTATTAATAATATGCAAGAGAGCTCTCCTTCCATGTGGTACTTGGCACTGCTCTTGGAGTTAAATAGAATGATTCTGAAGGGTTTCTCTAGTTTTCAAGATTGATACCTGTTTATTTTAAGCAATGCTGCCTAATCCTGTCATGAGACTATGTCAATATTGACTAGTTTATTAAATAAGATTAGAAGATGCTCAAATCTTGAACTTATCTGTACACAGTGCAAATTGATACCACTTCTCCCTCCACCCACAGAAAGAATCTTAGATAACTATATATATAAAATACTTTTCTGTAATCTTTATAATTGTAATATCTGAGGAAGTTTAACTCTTCAATATATTAGAATTGTTTTGAACAATTTATTGTGCTAAAGGAGTAATTTCATGAACTTCCTGTTACTGTGAATCTTTTGCTCAATGTGTCTCTAAAATGGCTATCAGAGAGTAGTTATGTTAGGGTCTTTGAGGGAGGTTTGCTCAAAGTAAAATATTTTTCCATAGATAAACAATTCTATTGAGCAAGAGATTGCCTTGCAAGAGTACAACAAATCTGCTTAGAAAAAAACTCTCTTTAATCTTCCATTTGCGATGTAATAGGTCCTTGGATTTAGTTAACAGTGGTTGAAGAAACATTGTTGGCAAAAGATATGTGCTCAGAAAGATCACAACATTAATTTTCACTATGTTCTCTTGAGCACAGAAATTCACATACAGTTGTGTTGCGTTTTGTGTTTTAATATCCTGATGTTCTTTTCGGGTCTTTTTTAAGAAGTGTAATCTGTGCTGGAGCAAGTGATGTATGTGAGGTTTTCTAGACTAATATGCAAACAATGCCAAACATCCCAATTACCTTTGGGAGATCCCAAAACCTTGTCTTTCAAGGCCTTGATCCTAGGGTTGCTGGGCTCAACGCTAGGGACTGCGCTGATGAGGACCTGGGTCAGAAAGCCCTAGAGAACACCAGTGGGGCAGAAAAGCTGTTGCTGTCTTCTCCCATAGTGAATGGCAGGGGTCAGGGCTTTAACCTAGAGAAGATGTTAAAGAAAAAAGATTATTTATGACACTTGTTAAAACATTAAAGCAAGCTTTTTATTCAGGATTATCGCAATAGGTATAGGGATTGCAGCAATGGAGTTTTGCAATAGGAGAGAGAGATTGGGCTAAACTCTGAATACAAGAAAAAACGAGAATTTATAGACAAGGAGCAGAGTGGGGTCAGTGCATGGAAAATTCTTAAGAAGAAACATCCGGGGTAAGAAGAGATTCTGGCTGAACTGACCAACAGGAGTCTTGCTAAAATTAAGTGATAAAAAGAAGGACACAGAAGTCCAAAAGTTAGGACTGAGTTGGAAAGAGGATTCAGAGAAGCCCAACTAAAATTTGGCCAAGGAGAGACTCCATCAGTGACACACCAACAATATTGCAATCAGCAATTCCAAGAGTTAAAGGGGAAAAGAGTATTTCAGAGTATCAGGTAGCAGTGTCAGAAGCTGGGATAGAACCTTCCCTCCATGTGGGCTAGGCTAGTCTTAGCATATCGGGAAGTTGAAGTTGTCAACGGTGTTCATTGAGGAGCTGTATGCAACCACTTCGACTGTGTTCAGAAGCTCAGTGAAGGTAGAAATGCTTTGAGGAGACTGAGAGGGAAAGACCAAATGCAGTTGTGGTTTATAACGTTCCTATCATTTAGAAAATTAAACATGTTGGGTTTCATGTTTCTGTTTCTCAGTGACTCCCAAAATGAAGATTTAATCTTCTCTACAAGAGTAGTGAGTTAAGCTTTGAGATATGGCCACGTGGTGCTGCTGATATCTGGGAAGCCTTTGTGCAGTTCGTGTTTGGGACTTTTAATTCCTGGGCCAGTAGAAGGACTTTTTTTTACTTGATATTTCTCATTTCTTTTATCACACTCTGTACTTTTTGGCTTAGTGACTTTATCTCTATCTCATCTTCTATTCTCTTGGATTTAGGAGAGGGAAATATTTATGCATTTCCACAACTGAGAGTGGAGGAGGGGAGAGGGGGAGAAAGAGAGAGAGAGAGAGAGAGAGAGAAAGATCCATCTGCTGCATATATTGGACCTTGTCATGGTGACCCATAGCCTTGTTAGCCTGTGATCCTAGGATTCCTTCCTCACTGTGGCCATTTCACAGTAGGACCTTTTTCCTCTTATATGTAGCTCTTGCTCAACCTAATTTCCTTTCAGAAAACTGACCTTATTGGTATATTTAATTTTCAGATTGACACGTATACTAAAATAATACTTTTGTCAATAGTTGCTTAATGTGTATTCAACATTTTCTCCTTTTATAGATTATATTATCTGGATTCTTAAATCATTTGTATGAAATTACAAGTGTAGCAAGAGAGACACAATAGCTTAGGTTCCATGTCTTTTTGAACTTTTCCTGACTTGAAATGGGTAGATTTTAAGAACAAATGTTACTTATTAACAAATAAGTACAAATATATTATTAATTTTTAGTAAAACAGAGACTATGTGTGGGATTTACGATGCATTCGATTTACTGTGCAATTCTACAGACTATGATATAGTATTTCCAGAAGGGCTGATACCTATCAAGGAGTTGGGATCTGACCACTGTGAAGCAGTCAGTCATTCTAAGGAGCTGCAGCCTTGTCAACGGTGGGAGACCAGTAATTCCCAGGCTTTAGATGAGCTACTGGTGTGTTTGGACTTATGCAAGAGTCCATGGTCACATAGGAAACTAGAGGGAGGTAAGAATAAGGTGGAGAGATGCTGGAAGGTGTTTCAGGTTGGCTCCTGGAGTTTATATTTCCACCAGTTAAGTATAAATAATCTCACCACTGAAGATCTCACTTAACTCACACTCATTCTTTAAAAAATCTCTTAGGAAGACTATATAATCATAACTAAGCTACTCCTATAGAAATCTAGATCAGTACATTTAAAATGGGTCATTCATTCTGACTTTCTGGACTTAATGTCATTTTTCCTTTTAAAAAAGAATATGAACAAGAATTTTCTATTTCCTATCACTATCTGTTACCATAAGCTCATAGAGAAAATATATCTACAAATCATAGTTTCTAAAAATTTACTCTTCTTGTCTCATGGGATGTAATTATGAGTGTGTGTATGTGTACATTTAGAGATTCACATTATCTTTACTTTCTGTGTGTTTCCTCCAGATAAGGAGCAAAGTAACCTTCTTAGCAGACATTATTATAAGCCCCAAATGTAGAGAAGAGTGACTTTGAGCTTCTAACCTAGCCAATGATCTTTAACCAGCATTGGTCAGTTTTGATCAATTTCTGTGTGGGTTAGATAAAAATTGATTCTTTTATAAGGCTTTGCTTCTCTCTTTTTAGTAGCAGACATTGGTCATTACAGACTGGACTTTAAGTTGGGTCCAATTCTGTACACCCAAGTCTGTGTGGTGACTCTGCTGAGGAACTCATGTGCCTGCAGATTTGGATTGTTAGCACATAAACATCTTGCTGTAATCTCTGCATAATGCTTTTGACCACATGCTTGTGAAAGAGATACAAGAACAACCAACATGTTTTTCCTATTCTCACACACAGTTAAACAATATTCAACACAACATCCCACTTCTGGTCAACAAAATGTGTATAGAGATTTCTTCCAATTCTCCAGTGGACACCCACTCAGTGTCTTATAATTTAATTATATTCTGGCACTGTCTACATGGACATAGTGGCAGATCCCACAGGCTAAAGGCTCAGCTCCACAAGGCTTTCACCCAATTCAAATGCCAAATGCAAGTAGTAGGTTGTCACCTATACTTCTGACTGACCAGCTATAAACTGGGGCTCCAATTGCCTTCTCCTTGGGTTCAATTAATTTGCTGGGAAAGCTCACAGAATTCACAGGGAAACACTTAGCTTTGTTTCCTAGTTTATTACATAGGACATTACAGTGTATACAGATGGTCATCCAGATGAAGAGATACACAGGGCAAGGTATGCGATGGGGTGTGCAAAGCTTCCATACCCTCTCTGGGTGCACCACTCTCCAGGAACTTCCACATATTCAGCTATCTGGAAGCTCTCCAAATCTAGTTATTTAGGTTTTTATGAAGCATTCATTTCTTAGGCATGATGGAGTAAATCATTGGTCATTGGTGATTAATTTAAACCTCAGCTCCTTTCTCTTCCCTGGAGGCTGGAGAGTGGAGGTGGAAGTCTCAACTCCCAAATCATGCCTTGGTTTTTCTGACTATGAGCCCCATCCTGAAGCTACCAGCCATAAACCATCTCACTAGCATAAAAGAGGCACTCACACTTTAGAGATTTCAAGGGTTTTAGGGATCTGTGCCAGGAAACATGGAGAAGACCATACATACATGTACATACATACGTATATCTTATTATAAATCACAGTGTCACTGTTTGCAATATGTTGTGTAACTCAAAAGCAAAAACAAATGAACCACAATGGGAAAAAAATTCAGGACTATTTTCTTAAGGAAAATAACTTCTACTCTTTGAATAAAATATTATATAGAAATAAAAAAAATAAACTCTACAAACTTATAATACCTTGAACACTGACCAATAACTTAAGAAACAAAAGAGGATAATTCATCTGTGCTTCAAAATGATTTATATGGTAGCTCCTAATTACCTTTAGTCTCTTTGTACTCTGATTATCAGCAACAGTACTGTGTGCTAGATTGTGATAACTATGTAATTCAGCATGAATAATAACTGTACTTTACATGGTGTGGAGGGGTGATAATCCTCCCTCAATTTTCCACTGAAGTATTTGGTCATTTTCTTCTGAATTCTGCAGGGTAAAGGAATTATTTTTTTCTTACACCTACAACTTTCTGCTGTCACCTTAGCTGCACCATGGTATTAAAAAATTTAAATTACTCTGGTGAATATCCAATTGTGACCTTTCTTTTTATGGAAGATGTATTCTATTTCCAGTTTTGCTTGGGCTGAAGCAGCTTCTCATGCAAATGGTTAAACGTCTTATAAAATGTCAGTAATAAACACACTGTCATTTGACATTACAGTAAGCTGTCTAATAAGAAATCATCTTTATGTTTCAACAAAAAAAGAACCTAGGTAAAATAACTAATTTCTTTTATTATCTTCTGATATTAGAGTAAAATGTATGTGTTTGTGTGCGTGTGCATGGTGATTTATTGTTGTGAATTAAACTACTGTGTACATAGCCACTTTATTTTCAGATCAGGTAAGATGGTCATTATACTTAATCTTTGTTTTTATGCATATAGGCAAAAACAAGAAAAGTAGACATCAGGCAACAAAAGCTAGAAGTCTTAATGTGAATAAATAAATGCTATATCAGAGTCCAGAGATTTCAATGTTAGCCCCATCCTGGCCTTTTGCTACTCATGTGACCTTGAAGAAATCAATCTGAGCCATTATTTACTTGTCTATAATCTGGAGATATAAATACCTATTCTATCTTATTGGGTTGTCATGTGAGATAATATTCTTGGCATTTGTGAAGTGCTACACAAATATGAGGTAAAATTATTTTTAAAATTGAGCTAAATTATTTTTGGCTGAAAGGCAAGTCAATAGTCAAGTAACTGTTTATGTCAGAGTATCCCTTTTTCAGTGGAAAATTTATCAGTGAATTCTACCATACGTGGATACTTTTATTAATCATTGCGTTTAAATAATAACACATAATTATTTGCTGACTTTGAGGCACATATTGTGCTGACTTTGAGGTTGCTGGTAATAAGTGATAGTATGAGCATCTATCATTGCCAGTAAAGTGCCAAGCACTGTGGCTGGGGCTTCACACATATTATTTCTGCTTCTTACCAAATCTCTGCAAACCACTGATACTAAGCATTAACAATGAGTCAATGACTTGTTCAGGCCCTAGAATTCTCCTACACAGGGTCAGGATTCATATTTGGCCAGGACATATACTGGGAATAATTTGGAACTCGTATATTGTTATGAGGAACTGGAAGCCATCTTGGGGACCAGCAAGAAGCCCAGAGAGAGGAAGTGACTTGCCTATGGTCACACAGCCAGCTGATAAAGGTTCCAGGGGTACCCAGATCTTTTAACAAACTATCTTCTTATTTTCTTAGGTTCTTATTTCCTTTGCTTTGACAGAATCTTCCTGTGTAGCAGCAGCTGTTTTCCTTACCAAAGTGAGAAATAAGTTGGCTCTAATCCTCATCTTCCATTGTTTGTGAATTTGGGGCCCTACACTAACATCTCTCCCACAATACAAACATTTTTAATTCCTAGAGGACCATGGACGGTCCCTCATGGTCTTTTTGTGCTCTTGATAAGTATTTTGCTGACTAATTTTAAGCTGATCCTGCCCCCTCACAACTAGTTTAAGGCCAGTTGGCTGTGCTCCTGAAGAGTGGGCTTTGGTGAAAATCTCAAAGCCTTAAGATGGCAATGCAAGTCCGTAGAAATCAGAATTCGATTTACACAAAACATTTTAGTACCCTCATATATATTAAACATACTATTCTTACTCCAAAATGTTGTGCTTTTTACAACCTTTCTACCATATGTAGAAAAGGAATGACATATAAGGACAGGATTCCGGTGTGTTATTTAAGAAATTAATCATTCATATATGAGAAAAAATTAAGAATGTATGTAATTTTGTTTTGCTTTTGTGTCTGCCTCACCAGAATTACTGCCCCCGATGTACATACCATTTTCTCAAACTATCATATTGAACAGTTTCTCCTGAAAAGTGATTATAAAGATAAGTGTCTGTGTGACACACAACATAGAAATGTCACAATTGGCGATGGTCTATTCATAAATGTCAGCAGAGTGGAGTGTCATGCTTGGAATAGAAAAAAAATTAATATGGAGGTCCTGGTCCTTCTACAATATAATTTATTGCTCAGATGTGCCCTTTTTCATTTAAAAGTGGAATTATTATAATTTGCACTTTGCTTCTATTATTGACACTCGAGTGACTCATTATAATCTTTAATCAATTCTATTTATCTTTTCTTGAATAAAATAGTAAGATTTGAAAAATACTAATATATTAAAACATTTTTGTTTTCATTCTATTTGGTGTTTTAGGTTTGGATAGGTATGTTGTATGTATGTATGTATATATGCATATGTGTCACCGTAATACTATATATACCCATAATATATATTTTATATATATATAATGGATATATGTGTGGATAACAGTATAGTATACTATACATGTTATAGTGTATATAGTATACTAATATATAATGTATGTATGTGTATACATATACACATATAATATACACATATATAATATATATAGTATATAATAATGTATAATATATAATATATAATATAAAATGTATAGTATACTACATATTTATATATAGTATATAGTATGCATAGTACATATATACTATATATGTAGTATACTATAGTGTATATATAGTACACCATATATAGTATAAATATACTATATAGTATATGTACTATATATATACTATATAGTATATACAGTATACATATATAGTATACCTATACTATATAGTATATATAGTGTGCGTATACTATATAGTATATATAGTGTGCGTATACTATATAGTATATATAGTGTGCGTATACTATATAGTATATATAGTGTGCGTATACTATATAGTATATATAGTGTGCGTATACTATATAGTATATATAGTATACATATATAGTGTGCGTATACTATATAGTATATATAGTATACATATATAGTATGCGTATACTATATATAGTATACATATATAGTATATCTAGAGTATATGTAGTATGTATAGTATATATAGTCTACATACTGTATATACAGTATATATATACTCTATAGTATACTATACAGTATAGTATACTATATAGTATACAATATATGTATACTATAGAAACACACTATATATAGTATACTATATATACTATATACTATATACTATATATAGTATACTATATATACTACATACTATATATAGTGTATGTATAGTATATATAAACTATATATAGTGTATATAGTATATATATTATATATAATATATATTATATTATATTATACTATATATTATATGTATATTATAGTATATTATACTATTATATATTATATATTATATTATATATTATATAATATAATATAATTATATATTATAAAATATATATTTTTATATTATATATTTTTAAATATTTTATAATATATATTTTATAATATATATATTATAATTATTTTATATATAATATAAAATATAATAAATATTTTATAATATATATTTTTAAAATATAATATTTATATATTATAAAAATATAAATATATAATATATTATATATTATATATAGTATAATATATAATATGTTATATAGTATCTTATACTATTATACTATATATATTATATAGTGTATATATAGTATACTATATATAGTGTATATAGTGTATACTATAGTGTATATAGTGTATACTATAGTGTATATAGTGTATACTATATACACTGTATATAGTAGTGTATACTATATACACTGTATATAGTAGTGTATACTATATACACTGTATATAGTAGTGTATACTATATACACTGTATATAGTAGTGTATACTATATACACTGTATATAGTAGTGTATACTATATACACTGTATATAGTAGTGTATACTATATACACTGTATATAGTAGTGTATACTATATACACTGTATATAGTAGTGTATACTATATACACTGTATATAGTAGTGTATACTATATACACTGTATATATAGTATATTATATATACTATATATGTATATATAGTATACATATATATTATATATACAGTATATATAGTATATATACTATGTAGTATATATAGTATATATACTATATAGTATGTATAGTATACTATATAGTATATATAGTATATTATATAGTATATATACTATATAGTATATATAGTATATTGTATATATAGTATATATACTATATAGTATATATAGTATATTGTATATATAGTATATTGTATATATAGTATACATAGTATGTATATATAGTATATATAGTATACATATATAGTATGTACACAGTATATATAGTCTATATGTATACTACATATAGTATACATGTATACTATACTACATATAGTATACATGTATACTATACTACATATAGTATACATGTATAGTATACTACATATACTATACATGTATAGAATACTACATATACTATACATGTATAGAATACTACATATACTATACATGTATAGAATACTACATGTACTATACATGTATAGAATACTACATGTACTATACATGTATAGAATACTACATGTACTATACATGTATAGAATACTACATATACTATATATAGTATATATAGTATACTATACATAATATACATATATAGTATATATGTATACATAGTATACATAGTATACATACATAGTATACATAGTATACATACATAGTATACATCGTATACATATATAGTATATATGTATACATCGTATACATATATAGTATATATGTATGCATCGTATACATATATAGTATATATGTATGCATCGTATACATATATAGTATATATGTATGCATCGTATACATATATAGTATATATGTATGCATCGTATACATATATAGTATATATATGTATGCATCGTATACATATATACAGTATATATAGTATGCATCGTATACATACAGTATACTATATATACAGTATATACAGTATACTATATATACAGTATATACAGTATACTATATATACAGTATATACAGTATACTGTATATACAGTATATACAGTATATATAGTATACTATATATACAGTATATATACTATGTATTCTATATATAGTATAGTGTACATAGTATACATATAGTATACACTATACTATATATAGTATACTATATATACTCTATATAGTATATATAGTATACTATATATAGTATATATGTATACTATATATAGTGTATATATATACTATATATAGTGTATATATATACTATATATAGTATATATATACACTATATATTGTATAGTATAGTGTATATATAGTATAGTATATGTATATATACACATGTATACATGTATATATGTATACTAATATATACTAATATATGTATAAATATATATGCATATATACACATAATATATTTGATATATAATGGATGTGTATTATATAATAACTGATATATTTGTGGGTTTATATGTACACACGTAATATATACACATACACACTTCAGTGTGTCAAAAGTAAAAAACTAAGCAGAGACTTCTTGCAAACACAGAGATTTTTAGACAAATATTCAAAGAGGAGAAAATATATATAACCAAGGTATCTGTTAACGAGAAATTATTTCAGTACTGATACTGTTAACCTAGAAAGAATAATAGAAAAACTGAAGAGTGTATTCTACTACCACAGAGAAATTATAGTGTTAAACAGGCAAATGTAGCTAAATCCAGAGAAGAGAAAAATGTATATTTCCTGGGTCCTGATCTTTCTGCAATACAATTTCTTGCTTAAATGTACATCCTTTCCATTTCATAAAATAAAATTGTCGTAGTATTTATTGAGGAATTCGAATAGAAACGCTTGGTGATTATAATAGTATCCTCTTCCTGAGCATATCAAAATCAAAAGGGCCAGAGAAGGCATGCATGCATTCTCCCTCTTTAGATGTAACCCCGCCCAACACATCCAGCATGTGGAATACATATGATTATGCAGAAGCACCTCCCTCCCTGTACTGATAGTTTCCTCCCTGGATGTCGAATTTACTCATTCAATCAAGAGTGAGTTCCTAAAAAGGGAAAAATAAGAACCTGTCTCTGTCCTGGAGCCTGGCACAGTCCAGTGAGATGAAAGAAATAGAAAACAGCTTATTAGTACACTAGGCAATAAGCCTATAGCAGGAAAAACTAGAAAATTCCAGATGAAATCAGAGGAGAGAGTGATGGACTCTGAAATATTGTGAGAAGATTGGACTAAAGAGTTGACATCTGAAATCGGTTTTGATACATTACAGGTATCTTATTAAATTCTCCTATTTTGCCTTCTCCATCTCTCACTCTCTTTTTCTTTTGCTCTGTAATACATGTGGTAAAATTATGTAGCCCTTTTAAAATGCTTCGTAGTCATAATGTTATTTTTAATCTTTCTGCATCTGCTTTGCTTATGTTCTTATGAATAATCTTATTAATACATTTTGCCAAAGCTATCATATCTAGATGAACCTGTGAAGCATGAATTGAGCTAATGTGCCCCCAGAAGGCATAGCACAGGTTTACAGTAATGTTATAGGACTCAGTGAACATAAATATTTTTGTAATAATAATAATAGATATTCAACAATGTAACAGGCTGCTGTGGAGAGTAGTAAGTTCTTTATCTTCATAACAATTTGAGTAATGCTATACTTCTATTAATGTGGGATCATGTTATATTGACTTTAGTTTAATATAGCTACAAAGTTGTTGGTTGGGTCTATGAGAAAATCTTTACATATATTTACTTAATCATCTTGACCTTTTTTATTCTCTCTTTGGACATAATTCTACAAGTCATGACTTTGATGATAATATTTCAGGACCAATGACAGTGATTTTCATCCATGGTAACATGGATGTTGATTTGGTACTAAATAGCAGCAACAACAAAAAGATTATCTGCAGAGATATTATATAATATGTCCAATTGATCAGTCTAAGTTTCAGAGTTGAGAAGGAGAAAGACTAACGTATATTAAGCAACCCACTGTACTATCTCATTCCATCCTCCCCCCAAAATGTGTGGTAAATATTTTGTTCATACATATATGATATATGTGTGTATATATATGTGTGTATATATACAAGTGAACACACACATAATACTTTTACAAGCTGTCGATTATATGTTTACGAGTGAGGAAGTGAAGGCTTAAAATAACTTTTTCATGGTCACATTATTAGTATTCAGTCCCACTTATGATTTCAAATCTCATTGCCTTTCTACTCATAGAAGATAAAATAAACAAAAAAAGAGGAAAGGTTGTATCTGCATAGGCAAAAATAAGCATGCAGTTTAACCAAATTGAAAAAGGAGAAATGTGCACTTTTATAGAGAATGGAGGAAAGACATTACTGAGAAAGTAACTTATTACCAGCTATATTTGGTTGTTTAAAAACACTTTGCCTTGTAATAAAAATTATATTTATACGTACATTGAATCTTTTTTTCTTTTTTTGAAGACAGGGTTTTACTCTGTCACCCAGGCTGGAGTGCAGTGGAATGATCATTGCCCACTGCAGTCTGAAACTCTGGGGCTAAAGTGGTCCTTCTGCCTCAGCTTCCCAAGTAGCCAGGAGTACAGGTGCACACCATCACATTCAGCTAATTTTTTCAAAATATTTTGGAAAGATAGGGTCTTTTTATGTTGCCCAGGCTGATCTCAAACTCCTGGCCTTAAGCCGTCTTCCCACATTGGCCTCCCAAAGTTCTGGGATTACAGGCTTGAGTCACCATGTCCAGCCTACACATTGAAACATTGAATCTTTATTTTCTCAAAATGAGCCTGACCCAGTTTAGGTTATCTCCTGAGGTCAAACAGTTATGAGCCAGGACAAGAGGAAGTCTGTCTGCTTCTGTCAATGTGTAATCAGCCTGCAGAAATTTCTGGAATGCTGGTGGCTGAGATGCCTTTGGTGTTACTCAAGGAGTGTCTTATCTGTAAGACTACTTTTCTAAAGGAAAGGGAAAATAATTCAACCTAAACTTTCTGAATTCACAAAGATTAAATGAGGACAGTGTTGTTGTGGGGTGAATGAAAAATGAGTACAATAGTAAAATAATATAAAGGGAACTAACTCTAGGGTAAGTCCATCAAAATAATTACGCATAAAAGCTCATGAAACAAATACAGGCTTTGTAGGAATAAACGCTGTTAGAACGCCTGAACAATACCTTTGAAATAGTTGCATAATCGTTGTAAGGAAATTAGGCGATGGCTTATGCATATTTCATGAAGCCTGTACGTCGCCCTGTCTAGGCTTGTGCACACACTTACGAATGAACAGCAGCCAAAGCACTCACTTTTGCATTTAATAGCAGTGTAAATCTGATCTGCAAATGTATCCCCACACTTTCTCAATATGCTTTTCCCTAATTTTTTTTTCCTGTAGAAAATTCTACTCATCCTTTAAAGCCTCAGACATAGCCTTGTTGGTAGCTGGTAATACATGGATTACTGATTTAAATAAAAACAGACTGAATTTTGCATGTTTCTAGTACTATTGATAAACACGTTTTGGATTATCCAATTTTATGAACTACAATAGGTCTTTTCTGTTGTAAAAGAAGATCTCTTCTGAATGTAGAAAAAAAAAAAGCTGCAGAGCCATCTGTTAAAGGTATACTGAACATGAACTCTGTGTGAAGTAGTGACAAGAACACTAGCCTGATGGTTAGGAGATATTGGTCCTTATCCTAACTCATCATCGATTCCGTGTGCAACTTTTAACAGACATCTTTCCTGTTGTTTCTGTTTGTACGACTTAGTCAGGAAAGATACCTTGTTAAACGTTGCACAGAGAGTGCAGCTTAACTTGCAGAGTAAGTTGCTTACTATACAGCACATTTAGCTTCTTGCCTTTTCAGATAGACTGTGGTCAACAGGCATTGTTGTGCATCTTTTATGTCCAATAACACTCAGCAGTGTGAGGTACCTAGAAGATACTAAGATATTTCGCTTTAATTGATTTAAATTAATTGGATTTTATTGTTCTCCTGTGTGGACTAGAAAAAACCATCCTTGCTCTGCATACTGCACACTTTGTTCTGTGGCAAATCATTGCATGTGAGGTTATGTTAGGGGAAACAACACATAAGGCATTATGTAAACAGACAGATCGGGGCCAGCATCTTCATCTCAAGAGAAGCAGATCTGACTTATATGGCCTAACCTGTGAATTCAGTAAAGGGAAATAAATCCTTTGTAGGTTGAATAACAGCAACCAAAATACCAGCTCTAGAATCTGCGTGTTGAAACCTCACAATGCTGCAGCATTTTTTTCTGCAGGAATATTGCATCTGAGCTTCTCATCTATTTTTCTGCCTTCATGTATGGGTGTCTCTGATTGATTCATAAATATGGAAAGTCGTTGTCCTTATTTAGAATCAGGACCATGTCATCTTTCCCTGTTATACAATGCTGTCTCACAGGGGCACAACACTTTCACCCACAGTGTTGCTGGAGCTTCACAAAAACAGTGATTCAAGTAAGGAGATTCTCCATATTTTTGGAAGACAAACTCAATAAAATGAATTGATTTGCCAATATCAAAAGGCTGCTTAGTATCAGAGCCAAGATAAAAATAAAGGATGCTTGATTCCCAGACCTCGTCATGGTTCTTTCCCACCATAGTACCTTGGACTTGAAAGGAAAAACTGGTTCATGTGACATAGATCCTTGAGATCAATTACAGCCCATCTCCGGTGTCCATGTTTGACTTCACATTAGTGACCTATAACTATTTAGTTACATTCTCAGTCTCCTGAGTTTCAGTTTGATGCCTTGGTTTACTTCCAGAAAAACCCACAAGGTAGATGATAAGCCATTAGGGAATTATGTTCTTACCACTCTAACAGCAGCTGTTCAACATGAGGTTATACCATCTCTCAGCAGGGACATTGGCATATGATTACCACTCTAAAGACTTCCAAGGATCTTTTTTCTCAGGACCATCCTTACATTGGAATATTTGGCATTCTGTATCTTCTAGAAATGTAGATACATAAAATTTTTGTTAGGTTGGGATCTTTAAGAAAGCTATGTTTATAATATCTTCTTAGAGAGGGCTCCAGCCATTGTAGTCTCTATTCTGACAACTCATCTTTTCGTATTTTAAAAAATCCCCAAATTATTATGCTAGTATCAGCATTAAATTTCTTTCCTGTCCATCCTCATAAAATAACAGATGTGATTAAGTCAATATTTTGGATACTTTAACATTATCTGATTCATTTTCAGACCAAGTGAAGCTTTATCCAGATGTTCATGACTTTGATCTAGAATGGATGGCAAGTATATTTATCAAGACATTAATTGTCTTCTAACCACCAGCTCTTGCATATAACCACGTCATGAATAAAAACTTTAAAAATCAAGTTATTGCCAGTCTAGAAATATGCAAAATATTTTGTTTCCTTACATTGATTATAGACTCTGGTTAATGTTTGATCTAGAATGAATAGGTGATATCTTGCATATCACTGGTTTTCCAGAATCTTTGAAATATATATTTTTATTTCTAAATAGACTTATTCAGAAACATACTTATACATTTAAAGAATGTATAAAATAAAACAATCTGCTTTGTAGCAGCCTTGGTTGCATCACTTTTGTGATAATATATGTAATAAATTTATTAAGGTAAGACTGTTATTTTTCTTACTCCTTCCTATTTCTTAGTAGTGTTATGTGCACAAAATGGATTCTGATGATTTTAACAAATAAATATGTACCACTAATATGTGTAAGCAAGTATTCTAGGTTCCTCATGAACAAGTATCAGTGCTATATAATTTATTTAATTGTATAGATAATTCAGTATGTAGATGTAATTATGACCAATGTTTATAATGTGTTGTGTGCTTCAGTTACTGTCATTTTACTTTAACCAACTACAAAATCTTAAAAAGTGTGAGTCAGAAGCTGAGTGCTAATTGGTATTCTAGGTTTTCAGAACGGCATAAGAGTAGAATAAATGTCGTTGCCTACTTTTAAGGTACTTGTCACCTATATAGGGTGAAAAACCAAGAACAGGTCAATGCCCTTTGGAGCTCCAGGCCTTACCTTGGGAGGAACATTAAGCACAGGGGATTTCATCTTTTAGGCCTCCATGACATTGTTCCTGGCACAGAAAATTCTCTTTATCATTTGCTGATAGACAGGGAAGGTTGAGGGACAGAACAGTCCTGTTCAAAAGCAGGGTCAGCTAAGAGGGAGGCCAATAATATGGCCTGGAGTTTTTGGCCACCAGCCTCCATCGATCCTTCTGGAAGGCCAAGACTATTGGCTATATTAAACTGATCTAAAACAAGCCCTATGATCCCAATTACATGTCCATGAAACATGAAACTATAATATGATATAATATATATTTTCTATATTTTTTCTATATATTTTCTATATTTTCTATAATATATATTTTCTTATTAAGCTTTTTGTCAGGAACACTCACACTAGTGTTTCCTTTTCTAAGTATTAGGGCTCCTTCCATGTCCAAGTCAGCCTCCCTATGCTCAGGCCTGGGAAGCCTCTCCTTCATTTCCATTGACTGCTCCAACTTCCTCTCTTCTCTATGAGAGGTTTTATAACTAAGATGAGCCTACAGAGTGAGATGTGATACTCTACACATGTTCTTTCTTGCTGCCCTACATTATAAGCTTTGTAGGAGAACATATGGTAAAGGAATATAAACATGCAAAAGTGTGCTCCCAAGTTCTCACCAAGGACTTACCAAGTTCTCTTGGTGTCTCTCTCCAGCCTGACTCTTTCTGAGAGGTTAATGTTTGTTTTGATTCTCTTGAGGGTAGTATTGACTGCTCTCTTCCCCAAACCCTTGAGCCTCTTTCATCCTAATTTTGAGGAGTTTATGTGAATTATTTATGCCTTATTGTCCTTTTATATAAGCTTGAAGTTGACGTACAGACAGAACAATGTCTATGAACCTAATTTTATGAACAATAAAATCACAGGAGATGGACCTGGTTACTGAAAGGAAACAAAGCTATTTGTCTGAATATCATTTACGGAAAGTATACTGGGTGCCAGAAACTGGTTTGGTGATAGCTGGATGAATAGGACAAGGCCTTTGCTCTCTAAAAATTTTAGATTTTTGGGAAATAAGTGAAAAGTAAATTACATGTTGGAAATAAGAAATTGAAGTGTTTTGGCCTGGAGAACAGAAGCCTGGGAGCAGAGGAGGGAAGGGAAGCATGGTAGCTGTCTTCAAATAATGGCTGAATAGTCTTAGACAAAGGAGCTAGGAATGGTGATTAATAGGAGCAGATAATTCTGATACTGCTTAATGTACTGAAGGCCTTTCTAAATAATCAGAGCTGCTTGACTTTGAAATTAGCTCCAGTGAGATGTGATGAGCTTCATCTCTGCAGAAGAGGTGATCTCTCATTGAGACATTATGGGAATCTCAGGGGTGCTAGTGGGGCCCCAAGATGCTATTAATCTACTTAGGCTGTGTTTTGTATAACTTTCTGACCTGGGCTCTCAGAACTACAGGGACTGAGTGGGAAACTCTTGAGCCTCAAAGCTAATTTCTCACTTATGATTTCTATCCCAGTTTATTCACCTCGATGTCGGCCTTTCCAAAGTAGCACTTCTATTAAGCATTGTAAAAACATTTCCAGAAATGAATTTTCTTCTTAAATCTATTTTTCTAGCCTCCCTTTGGTGAAAAACCTTGTTTCTTTTGGTTCTTTAATATTCAGCCTTTGTTTTGACTCAGTGTATTTTGCAGTGTTCTAATCATTATTTCTTTGCTACTGTTAAATTACCCCCAATCCCCAGACTTTGCTAGATAAAAGATTGATAAGTATTTTTATTGGAATGCCATAGTCTCTAAACTTCAGTGACTTTGTAAAGTTTCATCAGAAGTGAGGCTTCTGAGTTTTTAGTAAATATAAATACTCATTCTCACTGCTGCTTAGAATTTCACTGATTACACTTTGGAACTGCATAATTGTGTAATTAATCTTGAGAGTGTCAGAATGCATATTTTTAAAAGTAATTTCCTTAGGGAAATAATACATATCTCATTATTTTTTACTGTAATTGATATTCATGGGCTCTTAGTTTATAGGTATAAAACCTGACAGACACGGCCAATATCAGTGCCATATATTATTAAAATGGATTAATTTTTCAAACACATCTTCCATTCAATTTCTCATTAAATGAGGCATTGTAAATTCTGCTGTCAAGGGATACAAATAACATGATTATGCAATACTTGCATTATTCAAATTTTTCTTGGCTAGGATGGTTGTCTGCCATAAACACTGCATTCATTCTTCATGGAAGAGAATTTTAGGACGCAGTTGTCAAACCTAATCAAGAACCAGCTGAAGCTCAAATCTTGAATATTCTCATTGCTTTCACAAGTAAAGAGCATGTGATCATTTATTTACAAATCGCATCCTGGGAGAAACCTAAAGAAAGAGTAAAATTTACTTTACCTGTAGTTTCTGGAAAAAAAAAAAGTATGCCTCATTCAAGGACCACCATTTCTAAAACAAATATGAACAAATGGATGGATGAATAAATGAATCATGATGGTTAAAGGAAGAGTGATACATACCAGCATTGACATGGGTAAATTGAAGTAAAAACACATATGTCTGTCAATAAGGGTATCTTATACTGTGCATTCACTCACAATCACATGGACACCAGTTTGCCACCTACACATAACGATGCTGCCCTGTGCGATGGCTTTCAATTTCTCAGTAATAAAAAGTTTAGTGGAAATCTTGAAGCATTAGGCCTAGATGAATGCCAGGCACTGGGCTATATGAAGTTGAATAAGACAGGGTTATGCTGGTGAAGATCTCATCATGTCATTGGACAGGCACATAACTGAGCACAATAATTCGAACATGATGTTTTTGCAAGTGCCAGCAAAATGCTATGTGCGCCCAAAGAAGACATCATCTCACACTGCAGGGAGTTAGAGGCTAGTAGGGGAAGCTTCTCAGAGGAGGAGAGATCTGAGTATTGGCTTGAAGGATAGCGAGGGCTATGCCTGTGGGAGGAAGGAAAAGAACTCAGAACTGAGAGACCAGCAGGTACAGAGGTAGAAGGTAGGACTGGGCCTGGCATTGGCAAGAATCACTATTAAGCTCCTCAGGGATGGAACAAAGGGTTGGTGGCAGTTGTAGGCCTACCCTGGTCCTATTCTGTGGGTAGTGGAGTGGGTCTGGAGGTTATGATGCAGGGAGGAAGCTAATCATACTGCTTTCTGGAAGGCCACTCTGAAGACAAGGTGGAGGGCAGATTGGAAGATAGCAGAGCTAGAGTGAAGAATTGTTTTTAGTACAGTGCCAGGAAAATGAAAAGAGAAAGTTTGATCTGAAAGATATATACAAGATTGAATTCAACAGGATATTGTGACTGATAGATTCAAGGCACAGAATGAGAGGAGTGGAGAATTAATTTTGAGCCCTGGGTAGATTATTAGGCCATTAATGCAAATCAGAAATTGAAGAGTGGTAGAGACATATTAGATGATGAGTTCAGTTTGGGGCATGCTGCGTTTGACTTGCTTATGGCATTCAGGCACACATATAAGATTTGCGATATCTAGGAAGCAGAGGTTTTTTTTTTAACTTTAATTTTTGGAGCATATTTAGGTTCATAGCAAAAATGAGCTGCAAGTACAGAGAGTTCTCATATATTCCCTGTACCCTCCTGATATGGTTTGGCTGTGTCCCCACACAAATCTCATCTTGAATTTTCACATGTTATGGGAGGGACCCAGTGGGAGGTGATTGAATCATGAGGGCAAGTCTTTCCTCTGCTGTTCTCATAATAGTGAATAAGTCTCACAAGATCTGATGGTTTTAAAAAGAGGAGTTCTCCTGCACAAGCTCATTCTCTCTTTGCCTGCCACCATCCACACAAGATGTGACTTGCTCCATCTTGCTTTCTCCCATGATTGTGAAGCCTCCTCAGCCACGTGGAACTGTGAGTCCAATTAAGCCTCTTTCTTTTGTAAATTGCCCAGTCTCCGGTATGTCTTTATCAGCAGCATGAAAACAGATTAATATACCTCCTTCTCACCCATACAGCCTCCCCAACTACCAACATCCCCCACAGTTGATGGACCTACATTGACACATCATTGTCATCCAAAGTCCATAGTTTACATTATGGTTCACTCTTGGTGTTATACATCCTATGGGTTTCAACAAAGGTATAATGACATGCATCCACCATCTTAGTATCATACTGAATCACTTCACGGCATAAGTAGTCCTCTGTGCTCTATGCATCCCTTTCTACCCCCTAATCTCTGGCAACCACTAAATCTTTTTATTGTTACAAGTTTTGCCTTCTCCAGAATGTTACAGAATCAGAATCATACAGTATGTAGCCTTTTCAAGTTGGCTTCCTTTCCTTAATAATATGCATTTTAAGTTCCTCCATGTCTTCATGGCTTGATAGCTCATTTCTTTTCAGGGCTGGATAATGTTTCATTGCCTGGATGTGCCACAGTTTATTTATCTATTCATCTACTGAAAGACATATTGGTTGCTTCCAAGTCTTGAAAATTGTGAATAAAGCTGCTATCAACACCTGTGTGCAGTTTTTCTATGGATTTGTTTTCAACTCATTTGGATAAACACCAAGAAGCACAATTGCTTGATTATATGGTTGAAATGTGGTTAGTATTGTAAGAAACTGCCAAAGTGCTGTATCATTTTGCATTCCCAATAACAATAAATGAGAGTTCCTGTTGCTTCACATTCTCACCAGCATTTGATGTCAGCGTTCTAAATACAGGCCATTCTAATTGGTGTGCTGTTGTATCTCATTGTTGCTTTAATTTACAGTTATATGATGTGGAACATGTTTTCATATTCCTATTTTCCATCTATGTCTTTATTGGTAAAGCATCTGTCACATCCTTAACCTATTTTCATTTTTTAATCAGATTTTTTGGTTTTCATTGTTGAGTTTTAAGAGTTGTTTGTATATTTTGGATAACAGTCCATTATCAGATAAGTATTTTGCAAATATTTTCTCCCAATCTGTGGCTTGTTTTTTTCATTGTCTTGAGCAAGCAGTTTTTTATATTTATAAAATGGAGAAAATAATTATAATTACTCACTGTGACTTATTTAAACTTTTAATTTTGAAATAATTTTAGATTTACAGAAGAGTTGTAAAGATAGGACAGAGTTCCTATACACTCTACTCAGCTTCATTTAATGTTACCATCTTATAAAACAAAGGTGCATTCATAAAATCGAATAAACAGTAGCATAACAATATTAACTAAATTATAAACCTTATTCAATATCATTAGTATTTATTTGATGTCATTAGTATTTCCACTAACGTCCTATTTCTCTTCCAGGATCCATTCAAGGCTACCATGTTGCATTTAGTTATTATGTCTCCGCAGTCTACCCCAGTTTGATTGTTTCTTAGCCTTGTTTTTCATGACCTTATTACTTTTGAAGGGTGCTAGTTTAGTATTTTGTAGAATGCTTCTCAGTTGTGTTTGTCTGTTGCTTACTCATTATTTACTGGGGTTTATAGCTTTTTGAAAGAATACCACAGTGGTAAGGTACACTTCTCATCATATCATATCAAAGAATACATGATATCAACATGACTTATCACTGGAAATGGCAACTTTTCTTAGTTAAGGTGGTATCTACCAGATTTCTTGGTAACTGTAACTACAGTAACTGTAAAGTTACTATTTTTCCCTTTCTGTACTCTATTCATTAGGTACAAGTCACTAAGTCCTGCTCCCACAAGGGAAAGGAAATTAGCTCTACTCATCATAATTTTTTGAGTCTCCAAAAAGTAAGGATCAGTACAGTTATTCACAATAACATTAGTAATAATAATTCTGCTTTTTTTTCTATGAACATCTAACAGAAGTTATTAGTCACTAAGAAGGAACCATAAAGAAGAAACATCATGAAGATTTCAGCAGCTCAGCTCCAGATATACTTTTCTTTCAGTTACTTGAAGCTTCCCAGAGAAAAACATCCCTTAGGTATTTGGTGGTATTGTACAGACTGACCATCAATTAGGGGATGATATAGATTGAATATTTGTCCCCACCCATATCTCATGTTGAATTGTAATCCCCAGTACTGGAGCTGGGGCCTGGTGGGAGGTGTTTGGATCACATGGGCAGATCCCTCATGGGTTGATGCTGTTGTCCCAATAGTGAGTTCTTGTGAGATCTGGTCATTCAAAAGTTTGTGGCAACTCCTCCCTGACTCTCTCTGTCTTGCTCCTGCTCTGCCATGTGAGACATCTGCACCTTCTTCACCTTCCACCATGATTGGAAGCTTCCTGAGACCTCCCCAGGAGCAGATGCCACTATGCTTCCTGTA
Source organism: Homo sapiens (assembly GCF_000001405.40). Lineage (NCBI taxonomy): Eukaryota > Metazoa > Chordata > Mammalia > Primates > Hominidae > Homo > Homo sapiens. Next base: position 18,309,167 of record NC_000002.12, read on the forward strand.
CAGCCTGCAGAACTGTGAGGCAATTAAACTTCTTTTCTTATAAATTACCCAGTCTCAAGTATTTCTCTAGAGCAGTGCAAGAATGGCCAAATATAAGGGACATTCTACAAAACAATGATTCTATACTCAGCAAGAAGACTCAATCCAAAGCTAGCCATCTGGGCTGTGCCAACTTTATTTCAAAATCACCAGAGGTTGAAATGTTGGCCAAGGGACTAATCTGAATTATGTACCTGAAGCAGCACCTTAGCTGGGAGATGTGAAAACTCAATAATAAACAAATGGCAAACAAAACCAACTCTCTGGGGGAGGCTGCTTAGATTAACTGAATTCTGAACTGAATGTTTATTTATTTCTACAACAGTACTATGTGTTCATAGAACAAATATTTATGAGCCATGGCACATGTTTAGACCAAGAATTGGGGTAATAAAAACTGAATTTCAAGTTGAATGTAAATACAACTATGCACAAGTTTCTGAACTGAATAATAAACATCCATATAGCTTTTAGGCACCATATGTGATTTATAGTATTTAAATATCTAAAATATCTTTTCTCTGTTTATAAGTGCTGATATTTTCTTCCTAGTCTCTTTTTCCCTTTCTTCTTTCACAATATTTGGCATATTGTGACATGCTGGGATTCCCCTGAAGGAGCAGCCATACCTTTCCGAACAAACCCGGCCATGCTGTGTTCAGTGATAAGGGACAAATTTCACCCAAGAGTTCACTTGGCCAAAGGACTAATCTGAATTATGTACCTGAAGCAGCACCTTAGCTGGGAGATATGAAAACTCAATAATAAACAAATGGCAAACAAAACCAACTCTCTGGCGGAGGCTGCGTAGATTAACTGAATTCTGATCTGAATGTTAATGGAAGACAATGGAAGACACAACAGGAAGAAGGCTTATGAAGCTGGAACCATGTTTGGGTACTCTTTGTATCTCCTGCTGGGCTCATGTTTCTTTGAGGACAAGAATAAGGAGTGATTTTTTTGGAGAGTCATGTGCCCAGTAAAGAGTCTGGCTAAGCCATTCATTCTTTCCTCCCACAGCATCCATGGCTGGCAACTTCTATTATAAAAGTGAATGATCAAATTTGAATTGAAAAGCCACAATCTGAAGGCAAATCCATCTTGGCTGGAATTCCTTGATTCTTGACTACGTAAAACAGCATATTGCTACTTACACCTTTTAAGTAAATAATAACAAATTCTTCCCTCCAAACACAAGAATTTGATCCTAATATGGCATGTGTTAATCTGACCAACACTTTTTTTTTTTGCAATAAATCTATCTTTAGAAGGCAGTGAATTTCTTTACTAAGGTCCACACTTTATCAAAGTCACTGCTCAGAGATAATTGTAGAATAGTACAAAGAATACAGAATTTGAAATTAAATGATTTGGTTCAGATACTAGCTCAATTTGAAAACTGCATGAAGATTAAAAATGATACAAAATAAGAGATGATATTTGACCTGGGCCTAGAAGGCTGAGTTGGTTTATCATCTGGGGAAGGGGCAGAGCACATGAAGGTGTGAAGCATGAAGATGCTGGTGTGTGCCTATGGAGGGAAGTGGTGGGAAGTAAAAAAAAAAAAATTAGATTAAGCCTAGGTTTAAAAGTGACAGATGCAATGTTGAGAAGTTTAAGACTTGGCTATAGGGCGTAGGAAAGCATTAGAGTTTCCTGAGTAGTTTTAAAAGGGTGATTTTGGGGGTGATGTGAGGTGCGATCAGAGGAGGTAAGACTAATGGCAGACAGATGTGTCTGAGGGATGTTTCAAGAGTCCACAGGAGGGAGGATATATGAGGGAATGTAAAGGAATACTGGATGGAATATTTGTGAAGTCAAATCTCCAGACCCTCCCATCACTTCATGGATGTAGTAGAAAGACAGCAGATTCCAGAGCAAGGGAAGATACAAGAGACAATGAAGGAGAAGGACGGACAGTACTGGATGATGAAGTGGGTAGGAAGGAGAAGAGGAAAGATTCTAAGAAAACTTCCCTGTCTCCAACTGGGGTAATAAGAGTGTGGGTGTAAGTAGAAAATGTGATTTGAAAACGGAAAAAGTTGCAGGTTTGGAGTGAACAATGAAAAACAAAAGCCAGTTGCAAAGAGAGGGCTTGAAATCTTGCCATTTATAAGAGGGTTTCGAAGGCTGCTTCCCTTTTCTTTATTTCTCACCTGTGGGAGGGGTTGGTCCAAATGGTCTCCGGGGGCTTTCTGGATTTAGCTATAGATCCCGTGTTTTTCAGCAAGGTTCTGTAAGCTTCCTGGCTCCCTGAGGCTCTCGGGGCTGTAAGAGCTTTCTGCTGCTGTTGGATGATCTCAGACTCAATTATGGGTTCCCACAAGTGTGCTTTGAGGCCAGAGATTTTCACACACTGGAAAAATGCTACATGAGAGGAAAACAACCTCCCACTTTGGGGAATGTAATGAGGAAACATGAATGTTTCCAGCTAACTGCTTTTTATGGGCTATGAATAAGTAAATACAGAGTGAAATGGGAGAGCAAACATGTGCTTCAATGGAGAAATATTTGTTTAGTGAGCTAATTGGTACTAGCCCAATTTATCCTTCAGAAGGGCAAAGCTTGGTGTGCTCAGTGTGGGACCCGAGTCTGAGGCAGACCTTCTCTGGTCCAGATGGCATCACTGGTTCTTTGGTTCATTTGTACTTTCATATATCAAACACTTATTTGGCATCCACATCATGCCAGACTTAGTGCTAGGCCCTAGGACACAGATATGCACAGCTTATAACTTTAAAGAACTCCCAGTTCACTGAGTGAAAGAGGCTTGCATACAATTAATTACAATGTCATTTGGCAGATCTGAGATGAGAGATACATGTATGCACTTTATTTCCTTATCTCTTGTCTTACAGGCATTAGCATGTAAGAGTAATTGCGCATTTCTATTCCATGGAGATTTCTGGGACTGGGAAACAATATAAAACATCTGAAGCATGTTGTGTACCTACAGTGTGTTTCCCTTTGCAACAATCCTGCCAATAATTGTTTTTGTAGTTGAATAGCTAAGACAGAGTGAGGTTAGGTGATGTTCCTCAGATCACAATAGTAAGCATACAAACCTAGATAGAAGCAAATGTTTAGCTCCAGAGCACATGTATTTTTCTCCTTTATTGCATGGTTTGGAAATGTGATCTGAGAGCCCTGCAATACCCAGCCCCTGTAGCAGGTGTGGGTTCAGGACCCCAACATAGCTGAAGATCTGCTAAGATGTCTCCTGTTTACCCCTTGGCCTTTCCCATACCCTTTCATGTCCACATTGGTAGACCAGTCATCATAGCAATAGAAGTGCCATTCCTTGCAACCTGGTCCTAACTGGGTAGTATGCTGCTCTCAGGACTGTTTCGGAGTCCTTTAAGACTGAAGACAAGTATTTGAAGCAAATTTAACCTGAAGACATCACCGGGCAAAGAGGATAGACACTCAGAATCAGCCTCCTGCTTTTGCTGACAATGCCTGTCAATCTGGGCCTTTGTGATGAAGCAGGGTATCTTTTCCTGTGTGCTGGTATGAGATGCTTCCTTGGCTCAGGCTTACATAGTAACCACATATGGGAAAAGAGCCTGGATGTAGGATACCTCCAGGGTGAAACACTAAACTTAGCACAACTTGGAGATAAAGTCCCAACTCACGTGTGTGAGTTTTCTTCCTCCACTGCCAGAAGTATTCCTCCTCATCTTCCATGGCTTCTCATGGATTGGTGGCCTCATGTTTTCTTCTCCCTTCTCACAGACGCCTTTCCAGAGCATCTTGCAGCATGGTGCAGTGAAAAGAGCATAGGATTTTGAGGTGGATACGTTTGGACTTGCAGTGTGACTCAGGCAAGAAGCTAAGTCTTTCTGAGCTTCATTTCCTCACCTGTAAATGGGTCATAGCACCTATCTTGAGGAATATGGTGCAATTATATAACATTCAGTTGGTAAATTGGCACCTTCTTGTGCTATTATAATTGGCCTGTAGTTGACAATTTTTTTCCAAGAGACCTTGCTATTTACTATGAATTAGTAAGCAATTGAATTCGCTTTCACATGATATATTAAGCTTTACTTTTCATCTTTGTAAGAAATGTTTTGTTCTCAGTTAGGGTTATTTTCATGACCATAGGAATGCCCCAGAAGTAATTGTTCAGGGGCAGAGTGACCTTCCTCTTGCTCCTGAAGGACATAGATACTCAAGGAAATGCATGGTTGTTCTTTCACTAAGTACCCCTCCAGTGAAACTCTTGACATCTGTCTCCTGAGTGGCCTAAGAACAGTGCTGGTTTTCTACCTTTCCTCAGGAGCAAGGACATTTCTTGCTTCCTGGCTCTCTCCTAATGGGCAGTACACATTGGACGGAGAGTTGGGGGATTAGAGAAGGCATCCTTTAAGGACTTCATCACAACCATGTAATGATTAAAGAGGAACATTGAGAAATTTGAAGGCAAATATACAAAGAACATTTAGTTCATTCACACAGCAAGCATTTCTTTGGAGCCTTTTAGTGCCAGACATCAAGCTAGAAACTAAGATAGAGAAACTAGTCCAACACAGTCCCTGCCCCAGAGAAGCTCATAGTCTTCTGTAAGAAGTAGATAAGTAAAAAGACATTTGCAAACTTTCTAGAAGTTGTTAGGGTAGAGTTAGGTACAGCATGACAGTGGGTGTGCAGGAGATGGCATTCTAACCCAGGCTTCCTTCAAAGACATAAAATCAACTGAGTGAGAGTTGGTCAGGATGTCACAAGGGCATCCCGGTAATAGAGTTAACCTGCTTTGCCATGTCAATCCTAAGCCAAAAGAACAAAGCTGGAGGCATCAAGCTACCTGACTTCAAACTATACTACAAGGCTACAGTAACCAAAACAGCATGGTACTAGTACCAAAACAGAGATATAGACCAATGAAACAGAACAGAGCCCTCAGAAATAATATCACACATCTACAACTATCTGATCTTTGACAAACCTGACAAAAACAAGAAATGGGGAAAGGATTCCCTATTTAATAAATGGTGCTGGGAAAACTGGCTAGCCATATGTAGAAAGCTGAAACTGGATCCCTTCCTTATACCTTATGGAAAAATTAATTCAAGATGGATTAAAGACTTAAATGTTAGACCTAAAACCATAAAAACCCTAGAAGAAAACCTCGGCAATACCATTCAGGACATAGGCATGGGCAAGGACTTCATGCCTAAAACAGCAAAAGCAATGGCAACAAAAGCCAAAATTGACAAATGTGATCTCATTAAACTAAAGAGCTTCTGCACAGCAAAAGAAACTACCATCAGAGTGAACAGACAACCTACAGAATGGGAGAAAATTTTTGCAATCTACTCATCTGACAAAGGGTTAATATCCAGAATCTACAATGAACTCAAACAAATTTACAAGAAAAAAACAACCCCATCAACAAGTGGGCAAGGATATGAACAGATACTTCTCAAAAAAAGACATTTATGCAGCTAACAGATACATGAAAAAATGCTTATCATCACTGGCCATCAAAGAAATGCAAATCAAAACCACAATGAGATACCATCTCACACCAGTTAGAATGGCAATCATTAAAAACTCAGGAAACCACAGGTGCTGGAGAGGATGTGGAGAAATAGGAACACTTTTACACTGTTTGTGGGACCGTAAACTGGTTCAACCATTGTGGAAGTCAGTGTGGCGATTCCTCAGGGATCTAGAACTAGAAATAGCATTTGACCCAGCAATCCCATTACTGGGTATAAACCCGAAGGATTATAAATCATGCTGCTATAAAGACACATGCACACGTATGTTTATTGGGGCACTATTCACAATAGCAAAGACTTGGAACCAAGCCAAATGTCTAACAATGATAGACTGGATTAAGAAAATGTGGCACATATACACCATGGAATACTATGCAGCCATAAAAAATGATGAGTTCATGTCCTTTGTAGGGACATGGATGAAGCTGGAAACCATCATTCTCAGCAAACTATCGCAAGGACAAAAAACCAAACACCGCATGTTCTCACTCATAGGTGGGAATTGAACAATGAGAACACTTGGACACAGGAAGGGGGCCTGTTGTGGGGTTGGGGGAGTGGGGAGGGATAGCATTCGGAGATATACCTAATGTAAATGATGAGTTAATGGGCCCAGCACACCAATATGGCACATATATACATATGTAACAAACCTGCACATTGTGCACATGTACCCTAGAACTTAAAGTATAATAATAAATAAATAAAAGAAAAACTCATAGAGGCAAGATGTATATAACTGGGGCTCAAGATCCATGTTAATGAGTGACAAGAACTGAGATTGGAGAATGAGCGAGGCAAGATTTCACAGAATTGTATTTGCCATGATAGTGGTTCATTTATCCTGAATATAATAAGATGCTATTGGAGGTTTTTAATTAATTCATTTATTTCCTTCTTCATTCCTCCCTTTACCAATATTTGTTGAGCATGGGTCCTTCCTTTGAACCCCTACTCTGCATTTGACAAAGAGTAGAGGTTAGGAGGAAGAACCTGTATCCAAACCACTTGGGCTCAAATCCATTTTCTGCTACCTGCAAGCTCTGCAACCAACGGAACCGTTTTTTAACCTCTCATTGCTCCAGTTTTCTCATTTGAAAATTTGACAAAAGAATAGCACTCACATTAAAATATTGTAAGATTAATTTAAGATACTATATATAAAGCATTTAGAATAGTTCCAGACTTGTGAACATCCATACATTGTTAGCTATAAACCTTGTGTCTGACAGGTTCTGGTGACAAGCAGAAAAAGGCACCATCTCTGCCCACCACAAGCATGGAGTCCATGGAAGCTGGACTTTCTCCATGCTGTGAAAATGAACATACCCAATATTGTGGGTTGTGTACCTTGAATGGGATACTGTGGAAGCACTCAGGAGAGACTTAGACTTGGGAGACCAGAAGGGGCTTTTGGAAAGAAGTGTTGTCTCAGCTTGAACCTAAGAAATGAGTAGAAATTAGCTAGACAAACGAAACAGAAAAAAGTCAAGAGCAAGTCACAGTAAATGTGCATTTCAAAATGCTTCCTCTGGCAGCAAGTGTAGGGTGGACCAGAAGGGGAGGAATCTACAGTCATGGAGGACCATTAAGAGGCTTTCTGTAGGAGTTGCCTACAGCTCATGGAGCAGGTGGGCCAGAAGTTGTTATCCCTTTTAGATAAAAGAGACAAATTCCAATGGCTTCTCATGCTGTCCACCTGGTGACTGAGCCACGGTTAGACTCTGCCTCTCCTCATTATTATCCCACCAGTTCTCAAATCCTCTAAAGGGATTTCATTCCTACATATCCTGTAGTTGACTCTCACAGACAATGGTATGAGCATTGGTAATTTTGCACAGGAGGATCCTGCCGCTTGAATAACTTTCTCTGTATGAAGCATGTGGCTATGGTTACCATTTCGCAGAACATCTCAGATGAACATACATACTGTGTACAAGTCCTAAAATCTCACAGTCAAAAATGAGAATAAGATCCATTTGTGGCCAAAGGACTATATCATTTTAGAAATGCAATTCTTATTGTTGCCTTTGAATATTCTTCTCACTAGCCAAGAAGTTTTCTGCTTGCCTTTCCCTAATGTCATTTTTGGTAGTGAAGTTTTGATTGTTGGGTGGGGCAGACAATGAGGATGACATGACATAAGTGTTCAATAAAATCCAGCCAGGTTAGTGAGTTCCACTGCAAACGTGTCCCTGGAGTTGGTAAGGCAATGCCACTCAGATACACACTGTCTACATGTTTACAAAAGTCTTTACAGAAATAGTAAATAGACCCCTAATCGCAGGACTCCTAATCTGGTTTCCTTTCCACCACAGTTTGCTGTAGCCTTTATGTACAAACTATCACAGGATGCCACCCCCACTGTCAGCCCCTTGGAGGGTGGGTGTGACATTTCTGTGTCTTTCTTATTGTTAAGTGCAGTTGATATTCAGAACATCCTTGGTTAATTCGTTTAACACAGAGAAACTGCAAAGATGAGGAAAACATATTTGTTTTGACTCATCAGGAAATGTTTATTTCCTTACATTTATGTTTCCCTTAAAGGTATGAGCTACTCAGGGGTAAAGTGAGTATATTTAAATTTGCATTCCAATGTCTTAAACTGTTTCATCGATTCTTCCAAGAGCATTGAAATAATTTTTTTCCTTAATTCTGCTAGTTTGCTCAGGATTATAAATTACTAATGCTCCTAAGAAATCAATAACCTCCCAAAGGAGATAGAAGTCAGGCTTTGAAATATTACTACTGAAAAAAAAATTTCCCACCAACATCTAGACAACAGGCTGGTGAAGTAGGTGAACTACCTGGGTCAGTTTCACAGTGTGAGTACAAATTGTGGAAGAAGATGGAAAAAATTATACCTGAAAGCTCGGGCTGATGTGTTTTGTGTGTTGTGGCTCTTGCATAGGCCAATTTGCTATTGGACAGGTCGTTAGCAGAGTGATCAATAGGAACTACCACATACCAGCTAGCTTTGGTTTTTAGAGTTATCAGAAGCAAGGGGTTGGGGTAGGAGAGGGTGTTGGCTAAGACTGCAGCCTCTCTTGTTAAAAATCCTGTGGTCGGCTCGGCGCAGTGTCTCACACCTGTAACCCCAGCACTTTGGGAGGCTGAGATGGGTGGATCACGAGGTCAGGAGATCGAGACCATCCTGGCTAACACGGTGAAACCACATTTCTACTAAAAATGCAAAAAATTAGCTGGGCATGGTGGCACGTGCCTGTAGTCCCACCTACTCGGGAGACTGAGGCAGAAGAATCACTTGAACCCAGGAGGCAGAGGTTGCAGTGAGTGGAGATCATGCCACTGCACCCAGCCTTGGTGACAGAGGGAGACTGTCTCAAAAAATAAAATACAATAAAAAACTTATGTGGTCAAAGCCCCGCCTAGCCACTTAATAGTTGGGACAACATATGTAATATATTTTCTCTCTGCCTCAGTTTACTCATCTGTGAAATTATGATAATAGCTATTATAGGGATTAATTGAAATAATGCATTTGAACACTTAAAATGTTTCTGGTACAAAGGACACACTTAATGAAATAAATCCTTGCTATTATAATCAAGTTTGCTTTAAATATATAAACATAAGCTTAGTGTCAGTGTGAGAGTTACTGTAGCTCAGGCTTTTCATGTCGTAAATGAGGAAATATTAATGTTGAGTGAGCAGTCTGCTGGTGTCCATTACAGAGCTAGTTTTATTTTGCAATATTTTATTCAGAATTTGAAAAAAAATAGAATAAAGGAAGAAATAAGTTAATACGTGTCCATAATCTTTAAATTTAGTGAGTTTAAAAAACAAATTTAATTGCTTTTTAAATTTACCATCTGTTTTTCCATATAGGTGAGTTTTTTTTTTTAAATGAATTGTCATAATTTACTGTTTCAGAACTTCTTAAAAACGTGTTTTAATTAATTTTGCTGTATTTAAGGCCCTGGAGCAAGCTTTTTGTGATGCTTCTATGGCACCATCTGCCAACTGGAAAAATGACCCTGCTCTGCACACAGACCTGTGTTCCTGTGGGCGGAGACCCCTCTGTCAGGTGAGATGTAACCTATGCCATTCTGGGGCACTGGGCAACATGCTGCCTGGTCAGGGACACCAGCTAACCACCCCTTTGTCAACAATATATCAAAATCAACAGCTTTTACACCCTTGGGCTTGAATGACATTCATGTTGGGAACTGGCCTCCTTACCTATCAGCAATCAGTATGTGGCACTTCTGGCTTGAGGTCAGGAGATTCAGGCTTTTGAAAGTTACTATTTATATTGTATATTCCTCTCTATGTACAAATTTCCTGGTGTTTACATTGTTTGAGCTTTTGGAAACTCCTCTAGATTCTGTCTTGTAGCTGTCAGCTATTAGTATTTCAAGTGGATGTGGGTATTTATCTTAGAAATTTTCCCAAGCTGGTGGTGGTGGTACCCTGAAGAATAGAACAAAAAATGTTGGCCTGGGATTGAAGAGACAAACTTTAGTTTTCATCTTTGAACATTCTCTGTAAACGGGAATACAAACATGAACGTCAAATGGTCCTTGACTTAGGGAGTTCGCCACTTAGTGGGCAAGACAGGTGTGAAAATAAAAGCCATGATGGAGCCCAGGGTTCCATGGGAACCTGAAGGAGAACCCGACTCAGAGTGGAGGGAAGCACAGGGAGGATTACTGAGAGAGGAGAAGCCTGAGTTGAGCTCTGAAGGGAGAGTAGAAGTTTCTTGAGCAAACCATAGGTGAGGAAGGCATAGAAGAAACAGTGTGATAAAAGGGAGAGAGAAAATAAAAGTAAAGTAGGAATATTAGAAAAGCTGTTTCTAAAGCCTAGAATATGTGCAGCCTGAGGAAAGATGAGGCCAGAGAATGAGGACCTTATTTGCCACCCCAGGAAGCTTAGGCTTTGTCTGGTAACTGAGATCTCTCAGTCAGTTGTAAACAGAAGAGTGCCATGATTGCATTGCATTTCGGGAATATCTCTGGTATCGGTGTGGGAAATTGATTATAGAGTGACCATGATGGGCTAGGAAGGACATTTAAGATATTGTTCTCTTTGAGGCCTAAAGTTAAGCAGGAATGATGGGGATGAAGGATAATGACTCAGAATATTTAGTTGGTAGAGTAAATGGGACTTGATCACCTATTTCATAAGAGGTGAGAAAGAAGGAAATGACCCAGAGGTCTCCCAGGGCCCGACATGCAACAAAGTGGATGGTGATTCTAGTTTCTGGATAGGAAACAGAAAAAGAACAGAGGAGGAGGCGAGAAGAAGCAGAAGCATGGGGAGGTGGTGGAGCAGGAAGAAGAGGAGGAAGAGGAGGGGGAGGAATGAGTTTGGGGAAAAATGATGAGTTCAGTTTTAGACATGATGAATTAAATACATCTGAAAGGATTTCTAGTAGGCCTTTGGGGTATGAGAGAGCTATGGTAGAGATAAATATTTGCAAGTCATAGTTAGTGATAAATAAGTCATATGCATGAAATCACCCTGGGAGAGAGTATAGAGTGAGTGAGAAGAAAGATACCAATAAACCACAGCTACCCACAGTCAGGTGTCTAGGATGATGAAGTCCCTGGAAACTACTTATCACAGGAAATTTAAAAATGGCTGGGGCTGTTCAGCTTAAGAAGAGAAGAATCAAGTGATTATAAAAATATCTGACTGATTATAAAAATTTATGAATACTTTCATGAAGTAAATAACAGGCTTATTTCACAGACCTAAAATGAAGCTGCTAGGTAAAAGTTGCAAAATTTGGTGGTGTACATAGAAAACTCTTTGATGTATTTGAAATGGTCAGCACTAATACCTTGTGCCATAGTGAACACTCCATTAATAGGATTGCTTCAACAAAGGTGGAGGCTTATCTACTCAAGAAGAGATAGAGCAGTGGCTCCTAAACTTTGCTAAATCCAAACAACCTGAGGATTGTTGATAAAAAAACGCAAACTCCAAAGCACCACTCTACAGCTCTACAGCGTTTGGACCAGGAATATTCAGGAATATACTATATATTTCCCCAGTGATATTTATATAGCCAGATTGGCACAGGTCATGGAACAGTTTTGGAAATCACTACTTAGGAAGTTTTAGATTTTTGGATGTGTACCTGTAAACTGTGTGTGTATGTATGTGTGTGTGTGTGTGTGCACACACATATGTTTACATACGAGTGAGTCATGAAATAGAAATTATTCCAAGTTGTCTTCTAATCCTTTCAAAGGGAAACAATTTTATGCATCTAAGGTTTAAACCATGCTTCTTTTGTGTTCTCTCACAGTGCCAAATTGCCTTAGGTTGAGGAGTGGCATATCCTTACTACACCAAAGTGGGCACATCATACTGCTGAAGGCTGTTTGTGAGGATGAGAAACTTCTTTGAGCAGTGTTTACGTGTCTCAGAGCTTCTGCTCTGTCTCCTGTGGTTTACAGAGGATTAAAGATCTGTTCCACATAAACTGTCTCTACCCAGGAGGACCAGGTGGCACAAAAATGACCCTTCTGAAGCCATCACCTCTCAATCTGGCTTCTCTATCCAAGACCTTCTTATATCACAGCATCTTCTTTAACAAGATCATCTCTCATTACAGACCATTTTTTGGGCTCCTAAAGTAGTGTTTACTATACTCAGGATTCAGATCTTAGCCTGCATCTTCTCATTTAAAGTGCAGGCTCCTGCAGGGATCCATATTATCCTTTTTTTTTTTTTTTTTCCTGCAGTATGTACAACACCTGGCAAGGAACTAAATGCAGAGTAACTGCTAAAAAATATTTATTTGCTGATTCTTAAAAGTTATTGTACCCAGGGAGATAACATTGAAACAGATTCCTTTCTCTTTTAAAATTGATGGAACTTACTATTACTCATTGATTTTGAAAACTTAAGGTAGTTTGCTTGCATTTCCAATAGAAGATTGGATCCAACAAAACAAATTGAAAACCACATATAAAAATGAGTCATCTATTTTTTATTGAATACACATTTTCACGTTAAACATCTTTAATAGTTAACATGCATTCCTGCTAGCTTTAGAAATCAAACATGGTGGCTGGGCGCGGTGGCTCACGCCTGTAATCCCAGCACTTTGGGAGGCCGAGACGGGCGGATCACGAGGTCAGGAGATCGAGACCATCCTGGCTAACACGGTGAAACCCCGTCTCTACTAAAAATACAAAAATTAGCCGGGCATGGTGGCGCGCGCCTGTAGTCCCAGCTACACGGAAGGCTGAGGCAGGAGAATGGCGTGAACCCGGGAGGCGGAGCTTGCAGTGAGTCGAGATCGCGCCACTGCACTCCAGCCTGGGCGACAGAGCGAAACTCCGTCTCAAAAAAAAAAAAAAAAAGAAAGAAATCAAACATGGTTTATGGATTCAATTTAAAACCTTTCATTGAAAGGAAATCCATTTTTAATTTTTATTTTAATCATTTAAATATTTAAAGATGTTGCCTGTGTTCTCCAAATTTCTTTTAATCATACTGGGTAGGTCTACACAGGGGCTTTTGAGACAATGTGCAGTTTTATTAACAGGCTGTTGTAAAGCAAAAGCATTTTTCAACATGGGAAATGCATTTTTCAGCTTCTAGTTTTGCTTTTGAATTTAATAAAAGGTACAAATGAGTCCTGCTTTGATGTGCTCATGAGGAGGCTCTGTTACTACTGGGTTGGACACAGAAGGATACAAATGCCTTAATATTTAGCATTCAGTGAAATCATGTTTCAGCTTCGTGCTTTGGCTCAACCCACCTCCGTTGTCTGGCATTTGCCATTCTCTCAAGCGATAAAATTAATCTGCAGTAATTCACTTGGAGTATATCGGGCTCTGAAGATCTATCAGTGAATAGGATCTATCAAGTATCTTCGCTTCCAGTCAGATGAGGGATCCAGGTTGACCTGGCATGGGCTTCAAACAGGCTTGTGTTCCAAATTCAGCTCTCCCATTTATTATTTATTTGTGACTTGAGTAGTTACTTCTTTGAGATTCCATTTCCTCATCTAAAATAAGGTTTACTCTGCAGAGTTGGTGTGTGGCTCAGAGATAATACATGTTTGGCTTATACAAGTTCCTTGGTAAACTGTCACACTTAAAAAAGTCAATTTCTCCTGAGAATGAGAGCCCCAAAATAAGGAGATGCTGTGTGGACTGAAGGGAACCTCAGTTTATCCTTCATCTATTTCATGTCCTTGTTTTAATGTCTAAATGCCCATTATGTATGTAAGAGGACAGCTCTGTAGCCATCTCAGTTCTTAAAGTACAGATATTTGGGGATTCTGAAAGAGGAAGAGGCTGATTTGCCTGTGAACAATGAGTGAGATAACTGTACTCTGTACTACTGTGAACAATGAGTGAGATAACTGTACTCTGTACTACTAAAGTGGACTCACCTTCCCTTTCAAGAACAGATTCTGGCAGAGATATTCTGGGACAGGGATGTTGCTGTGGCCCCTCTGCAGCCCCTAACTGGACTGGACATTGCACATGCTGTTTGCACACTCCGATCAGAAGACCAGTCTTACTTTTGTGATGAGGTAGAGATGAGATGTATAGGTAAATGGTGAAGTCAAGAGTGCTGGTGAAGGTCCTCTGTCACGGTTAACACTATCCTATCTCCTCTGCCTATCACCTTTAATATTGCCTTTTTACTTTTAAAAGGGAGAGCAGGGCTTTTCTTTCTTAGTTAGAAGCAAGGATGTAAATAATTTCATCCAGCTAAAAATTTTAATTCTACTCCAACTTCTCCTTTTTATGCCCATTGTTCTTCAAAGGAATAAGGTCATCATTCAGAAGACATGACTCCCAGCGTCTGTGACAGCATTTCTTCTGGTGCAACCCATCTTTAATAGCCTTCTGATTTTATATATTGACCCAGTTTAGGGAATGAACCCTTATTACATGTCCACTATACCTGGCATTACATTAGGCATGATGCATTTCTGATCTCATTCAATATCCACCACAATCTTTTAAGAGAAGGGGCATAAACTGCATTTTTATATCAGAGAAAACTGAATCTATGAGTTTGCAAGAAGCGTGACTAAGCTATGTAATGAGAGAAGGAAAAAGTTGACATTTAAAACCAAGTCTGTGGTTTCTTCCATTACATAACCCTGCCATTCACTTTTAGGAAGAATTGAGGTACCCTGCATGTTCACTGCTTCACCCCAACTCTAGAGTGCTTGCACTTTCAAAACTTGGCCAAGTGACCCAAACATCTCAAAATGCATTTTTTAATTGTTGTGGTTTTTAAAGTGCTGAAGCATTGGTGTCATTATTATTATTTTTTTCCCAAGACAGAGTCTTGCTCTGTCGCCCAGGCTGGAGTGCAGTGGCATGATCTCGGCTCACTGCAACCTCTGCCTCCCAGGTTCAAGCGATTCTCCTGCCTCAGCCTCCCGAGTAGCTGGGATTACAGGCATACACCACCAAGCCTGGCTAATTTTTGTGTTCTTAGAAGAGACGGGGTTTCACCATGTTGGCCATGCTGGTCTCGAACTCTTGACATCGTGATCCACCTGCCTCAGCCTCCCAAAGTGCTGGGATTACAGGTGTGAGCCACTGCGCCCAGCCATGGTGTCACTATTTTTGACCATAGGCATAGTCTGTATCTTTTATTTATCAATATCCATGGGAAGATTAGAAATATAGCATTAAGAGATCTCAGAAGCATAGTACAGTGGAAATATTCAGACTTTGGAATTAGACATGCATTCGTTCCAGTCATTATCTATTTGACCATGAGCATGTTGCTTGATCCACCTAAGTCTCAAGTTCTTCATATATAAAATGGGAGAAGTGGTAAATGTCTTACATGACTATTATAAGAATTAGACAAGATAATAAACATAACATCACAGAATCTGACACATAGAGACATGCTTTAAGTAACAGACCTTATATTAGGACTATTACCTTCTTGTTATCAACATAGTAGCTTTAAATATATGTATAATGTGTACAGATAGATAGTATTCAAATACAATTCAAATTGTTCCTATTTCATACTAGGCTGTAAGCACCTGGACACAGAGTCAAAGCTGTGTTGTCTGCCACTGTATTCTCAGCCCTTAGCAAGTACTCAGCATATAATAGGTCCTGAGTAAATATTGGATGAATTGTGGATGAACAGTAATTTATGACACCTAGGTTCACGACCTAGGACTTTATTAGGCACTCATCAATTTCACAATGTATAAAATATAAACCTGGGGCTAGAAAATCTACAAAGTTCTTAACATATAAGATGGAACATTTGAAAGTTGTTCAAATGAAACTCATGAGGTATTGTGAGCATCAACTAAGAACATTAAAGCGAAACAAGAGACAGAACATCACATAAAACCACTCTTTCCTTTGATTATCTATTTAATGGCAAGAGAAAACATAATGACTTTTCAAGAGTGAATTTGAGGTCATCAACTATATTAATTGAAAAAAAAAAAACCCGTCCATCTGATGGATGTGAAATGAAATGTAGATAATGTATACTTCTGAAAGAAATGATCCAAGATGCTGAGAAAGGGTATTTATTAGCCGCCTTTAATGAGATGTGGAGAGGAAGAATGAGTTGGTCAGCATTACTGAACAGAGTGCAGACACGTGTTTGCCTGATAGGTCTGAGCTGAAGTTTTGCTGACTCAAGAGCAAACAAAGATCTACAAAATATTCATAGTTATTGTCGTACTATTATGTTTATGGTCCAGAATTTTCTTATTGATTGTACTTTTTAGATATCCTATGTACACATATCATCTTTACCTTATTATATATTATATTCTTTGAGATCGGGGATGATGTGAGCAGTTTTATGTATTCTTTACAGTTTTAGTGTAGTCACAATGAGACTGAAAACTTTAAAGCAGATATAATTATTTCCACCTTGTAGAATATTTCAGAGGTATGAATGACCCTGAAATGTAAACACTTACCTTGGTGCTCAGCAGTTCAGTGAATAAATTTACTGTTATTATTGTTGTTAGTATAATTATTGGTATGCCAACAACATATTGAAGGTTTGCCCCCTTGATTTAGTCATCCCTCTTAAAGACCTTTTAATAGAATAGCAGAAATTAGGGAGGCATAAGTGGAGGAGAACCATAAAACAAATATTTCCACTGATGATGTTCTCATATTTTCTCCACTCCCTAGTACTTTAAGCCCTGGTGTGTTATGTCAGCGTCAAATAAATTGGCTAATTAAAAGCCCTTAATTTGCTTCCTCCTAAAGAAGGATTTTTCCCCTCTCTGATTTGAGTCACTGACATATTTGGGCCTTGATACTTCACTTCTTGATGAAGACAATGTTTTCTAGTGCATGATGCTTCCCTTAAGCAGAATTTTAAGTACTGCTCTCCCGTCTTACCCTCCACCCTCACTGGGAATGAGACTTTGCAATGTTCTGTTTCTGACCAGGATATGTTCTCTGGAATCTATTACTGGATTGCTTTTCCTCTGTGTATTTGAAACTTAGGTGTATATCAAAATAACTTTGCCATGAAAAGCAGCATATTTAGTACTTGTAACTCACTCTAATTCAACTTTACCTCACCTCAATTCTTTTGGAGGATATGATAATGCAATTTCATGGATCTTATTGCTTTATTTTAGAGTGTACATATTTAAGTACTTAGAACTATTTAAAAGAGATGCATATAAAAAAGCGATAGATAAAAACATACCACACAATGACATTTTGTTGAAAAAAATTATAAGAAATTAGTTATGGGAAGAGAATCCTTTTTGATTTATTATTTTTTCTCCTCTTATTATAACTTGATGCTCAAGTTGCACAAATAATTTTGAGATATTTGTTTGACACGCAGGTGTTGTATCCATCACAAAATACTTATTTCTTTCTTTCACTAGTATTTTTGAAACCATGGCAACAGAGTATATTATTGCCTAGTCCAGACTGTCACAGGAGAATGCATTGCTCTTTTCATATAGTGAAATTCTGTTTAGGGAATGATCCAATCTCAAGAAAACCAATCTATGTTTCACCCAGACAGCCTTTGTGTTACAGCAGAGCACTCAGCTGTTGAATACTCCCCACCCTACATATTTTCCCTGCATATGCCTGGGGAGCAAGGATATTTCCAAATAACTCTTCCCTGGGGTGAGTGTCTGTAAATGGAAAGGCAAAAGAGGTAAAGGACATGTTGAGTACTAAGGTTTCCCCTTACAGAACTTAGAGTAAGAAACATGGCATAAAAATGATTCAGCTGAAGTTAATAACCTAAGGCATTGGTGCCTTTTGGAGTTAGAGTCCGTTTGGAGTAAGTCTGCTCCTGCCCTTCCACAATGTCACCCTCTGAATGATTTCAGTTTGTTCTTTTGGCACAGGCTCAAGCTTAACGTGCATCCAGGAGAACTCCACTGAAAAGTGGAATTTGAAGTTCTATGGACATTCAGGATGTTTGGTGTTTTTGAATTACTCATGGGATAATATCCTCCAGACCCTGATTATTGAATTTTTTAAAGGTCCATTTTCTGCTTTATAGAGAGTCTGGTATACATTTCCCAGGTTAAGATCTGGTAGAATTTTTTATGAACATCAAGGACATCTCATTACATAGAAAAACTGAAGGCAGTATTTGGACAGTTGTGGAAGCTCACAAGTTACTTGCTTGGCTCTCTTTCCTGGCTGCTTTAAGACCCCCTACTTCATACCTGCATACTTAGCCCACAGAAAGCTCTGCTACTAATACTATTCCCTGTGATAGCTACTGGTGGACGGGGGTGGGCGGAGTTCCAACTAACTTTGAAGTGAAATCTTTATTAATGTCACTATGATTTGCTTTTCCTGTTCCCAATGTTCCATCTCATCGCTGAGAATTCTAACCAAGTTTGTTTAGTTGTAAGAAACAGTGATCTCCTTCAAACACCTCAAATTGTAAAAATAAAAGTGAATTATTCAAAACCAACAGTCATCAGAAACCACAGCAACTTCAGCAGCCAGCTATTCTTCTGTGCTCCCTCAGGGCCGCCTGCTTTCTGTTTGTAATGGCATCTCTGCTGTCTGTGAACCTATTTCATTCTCTACTCTCTGCTGACTAGTGAGTGTCCTCTAGTTATTCATATTTTTTGCTTCCTTATAATTCCTCCCTGCAAGGGAGGCTTGCCTTGGTCTTAACTTTACCTCTGGGCATCCTTTCTGCTTCCGACGCTACCAATAGCTAAATGCTTTTCAGCTATTTGCTTCTGTAAATTTCTGATAAAGGCCCTGTTACATTTGTGTGCAAGGCTGCAAGTTTCTATGTAGTTGCTAACTTTTCATCCTTGAATCAGGTGTCCATCCTTGATTCAATCATGGTTGGATGATGGAACGAAGGTCTTGTGATACTAGCCATGGTGATTCCGTCCATCTCTGTCACTTGGCAGGGATGTGGGTAGCCAGTTCCCTTAGAAAGACCAATATGTTGTCAGCAACAAGAAGCACACTGAGCCATTCAACACAGGTTCAAAATACCATTGTGAATTTGGCCTATTGGGTGCAACTTTCCTCATCTGTAAGTAGGCCAGTGACAGTATCTCAGGGCTTTTGTAAAGATTGCAGATGTAAGTGAGTAGCACAATGTTTTCCATTTTCAATCAAGAATTCTATGATTAGTTGAAGTAGAAGTGTTATTAGTAATAATAGTTATATAATTTTAGTAGTAATAGTTGTAGTGAAAAGAGTAGTATTTTAGTAGTAATAGTTATAGCATTTGTAATAGGAAGTAGTAGGAATAGTGGGAATAGCTAAAAAGAACGAGTTTAGTGGAGTTCTGGCCAGGAGGAGAAGCTGTGTCTTTTTGCTCTTGCTACGTTTCTACCTCAAAGACCTGGCCAGAACTCCAGCTTTTCAGACCAGATCAGCAAGTGATGAAAATAGAGCTCAAGCAAAATTAATAGGGGAGAGAGAATTGATGTGTTTGCTTTTATAACTGAAGAGTCAAGGCATAGTCTGGCTTCAGGTGGTGGGTCTAGAGGATGAACAAATGTCATAAGTATTCTGTAGAGACCTTTTATCTTTCGGCTAAACTTTCCTGTGGGTTGATTTTACTCTTAGGTAGACTTCCCAGACATAGCAGGAAAGATGGCTGTTGGCATATATAGTTTTATCTTTTTAGCTATTCATCCTAGAGGAATAGTGCATACCTTCTACTCACCAGGCAAGCACAACACCTATAAAAGACTTCATTCTGGCTGGATGCTCTGACCATTCATGAATCTGTTACTATGGCCATGATCAGTGGGGATTGGGTACTCTTGCGTGATATGGGTTTCTAGGTCTGAAAGTGGGTTGTGGGAAGGCTTAGTTCCACTTAAATCACATGGAGTTAAAAATGGAATTAAAATGGCTAGCAGATCCTCAATAGCAAGTGAAAAATAGGAGCAGAAAAAGAGCAGGTGTCTACCTCACATGACTTACAAGTTGCTGTAAGGTTTCCAGGAGATGATGCATACAAATTGCTGTATCAAGTAGCTACCTTATAAGTAGATATATGATTAACAGTTATCCTTACATTTTTCTTCCATCACATTTCTTGCTGTTATGTCACATTTGGCCTCAGCCCCACTTTTTAAAAAAATCATATTCCTTGGTATAAATTAGATGACTACTTGGCATTGATTTTAAATATCAGATAACAGTGGGTTGAAGCCTTAAAGGTTTCTTTTTTTCAACCCAAAAACTCTGACCTGAGGCCTTGTTAAAGGCTGAGACATTGATCCATATTCTGAGTTACACAGCCCCAAGCCCCAAAGTCAACTCTAGCGTCTCTGTCTTGCCTGCTTCTGCCCGTCTGTCAAACAACTTCTTGAACATTTTCTTGTTTCTACCCCTACCCTATATATTTTATGCATTTCCTCCACCTGTTCCTATGGCTAATACCCAAGTTCAAGCCTTCATTGCTGCTGCTTCTTTTTTTTTCATTTTTGTTGGTTTCTTTTTGAAAAAGGAGGTAAAATTTATGTAACTTAATCCACTTAAAGGAATACAATTCAGCGGCATTCAGTACATTCACAATGTTGTATAGTTATCATCTCTATCTACTTAAAAACATGGTCATCCCAAAAGGAAGCTCCATACCTATTAAGCAGCCACTCCCCTTACCTTCTTTCCCACAGCCCCAGGTAACAACTAATCCACCTTCTGTCTCTGTGGGTTTATTTATTCCAGATATTTCATATAAATGGACTAATACAATCTGTGATTTGTGTGTTTGGCTTCTTTCACTTAGCATGCTGTTTTCAAGGTTCATCCATATAGTAGCTTGTATCAGTACTTCTTTCCTTTTTATGGATGAATTGTATGGATATAGCACATTTATAAAAATTCATTCATTCGTTGATTTTCCATTTTTTTAACCCTTACCTTGGCTATTGGTAGAGCCTCCTGTCAGGGTGTCTCTATTGCTTAACCACAAGGAACAATGTTCACTTTGTATTCTGGATGAATAGCGCTTCCTGGGGATGTCCAACACAGGGACTCTATTCCTACCAGAAGCTTTGTCACACCTTATCTCAAATGCATGGCAGCTATGCTGTCTTTCTACCTTCCTAAATCTCATTTTTGATCATATCACCCCTTACTCTAAATCTGTTGATGATTTTCTATTACTTATTTGTCAATTACAATAATATTAATAGCTATAATCTATTCAAAGTTTGCACCATTTTTCATACTGTTTACATGAATACACATTTAATTATCATATATATGTATATATATTTTTCTCATTCTACAAGTGAGGAAACTGAGTCACAGTATAATTAAGAACTTTTTCAAGTTCACACAGAAGGAAAGTGTTGGAGCCAAGATAGGAACTCTACCAGTAGCAAACAGATCCTAAAATGACTCCCAGTAATCTCTACCTCCAGGTGTTCATGCCTTTCCATAATCCTCTCTTCTTGAGTCCTGAATGTACCTGTGATTTGTTTCTAACCAGTAGAAAATGACAGAGGAAATATTAGGATGGGATGGGATGTCACTCTGGTGATTGCATTATGTTGTGTGAGTCTGTATTTAGCAGGCTAGAGCTAGAGACTCCCCTTCCAATCTTGATGAAGTAATTGGTCATGTTGGAGAGGCACACATGGCAAAGAATTGTAGACAGCCTCTAGGACTTAAAGGTGGCCTCTACCCTCCAGTCAGCAAAAAGCCAGGACCCTTAGTCAGGGAGTTACAAGGAACTGAATTCTGCCAAACCCTTAAATGATTTGGGAAGCAGATACTTCCTCAGTCAAGCCTCTAGATGAGAATGCAGCTTGATGAATGTCTTGATTACAACTTTGTTGTGGGACCCAGTTAAGTCATGCCCAGAGTCCAGATGCATGGAAAGTGTGTGATAATTAATGTATGTTTTAAGCTATTCAGTTTATGGCAATATATTACACAGCAATAGAAAATGAATGTAGATTCTGGTAGCTGAAAGTGGAATACTGCTGTAACAAATACATAAAAATAAGACATATTGAGGAATATGAAAAAGATTAAAGCGTTTGAACAGACTGTTAGTAGAAATCTAGATTTGGAGGACACTGCTGATGAGGACTCAGAAAGAAATGAGGAACAAGTTATTGGAAACTGGAGAAAGAAGTATACTTGTTATGTAGTGACAGAAGCATAGCAAAATTGACTCCTGCAGTTAGACAGAAGCAGGGTTTGTAAATGATGAGTCTGGATCTGTAGCTATGGGGGATTTCTCATTTATTTATTAGAGACAAGGTCTTTCTCTGTCACCCAGGCTGAAGTGCAGTGATGTAAACCTGGCTCACTATAACCTCAAACTGTTGTACTCAAGCAATCCTCCCACCTCAGCCTCCTGAGTAGTAGAGACTACAGGAGCATGCCCCCACACCTGGCTAATTTTTAAATGTTTTGTAGAGACAAGGGTCTTGCTATGTTGCCTAGTCTGGTCTCGAACTTCTGACCTCAAGTGACCCTCCCACCTCAGGGTACCAAAGTGCTAAGATTACAGGCGTGAGCCACCATGCCCAGCTGCTAGGGCCACAGCTCTTCTCTCCTCCTGTTTGCCTGCAATGTGGTGAGCAGGGGGCATGTTTCAGCCCTGTTTGTGTTACAGTAGCTTTTTTAGTCTAGATTAACCTAATTTGGCAATAAAGCTCCTCTTCATCTTGCTCACCCTTCACTTGTTTGCATACCTTATTCTTCCTGGTCACAGGACAAGGACTCAGATGAAGAGGAGCTTTATTGAGCAATAGAACAACTCAGAGAAGACCAGCAGTGGGCAGCTCTTCTCCATAGCCAGGGTGTCCCGATGAGCGTTCAGCTCCTAGCAGAGAGGGTAGTTCCTCTCTGCAGGCAGGTCCTCCCAACAAGTGTTCAGTTCTCAGCAGAGAGAGCTCCTCTCTCCAGCTAGTTGTCTTATCATCTACAGCTCTCAGCAGAGAGGAGGCCCTAGAGTGGTTGGCTCCTCTCTGCAGGCAGGTCATTCCATCATCTCTGCAGCTCTCAGCAGAGAGGAGGCCCTAGAGTGTTTGGCTCCTCTCTACGGCTGGTCATCCCATCATCTCTCCATCCTCTGCTCTGCTCTGGCTGAGCCCAGGACTTCTGTGGGCCTCAGAGGGGAGGAAGTGCATGCCAGTTGGTCCATGGGTGGCCATGGGCAGGCCAGAAAAGGCACCACAAGTCCCCAATCTGGTCCATGGGACTGGCAGCCCAGCTTCCATCCTTCAGGCCCTCCCTGGCTTGAATTGGGGCCTCAGAGGGGACCTGTCCCCTTCCACCTAGGAGCCCGTCTGCCTTCTGCCATCATTCATAGTGCCCAGGCTGCTCGTACCAAGTGACACCTTCAGGCCAGGGCCAAGCCGCCCTCACCCCCCTCCTTGGCTTCCCTCACCCTCGCATTTGTTGGTGCCCAAAGTCTGGAGGGGGCTGTGGCAGCAGGGCCCAAGCATGCACACACCCAGCCGGGCTGTGACAGCACCTGAGCTTGGCCCCAGCCCCACTCGGAGATGGAAGCAGGTGCTGAAAGTTGGGAGAGGCCAGTCAGTGGGAGCAGGCACATCCTAGCCTGGGGGGGTCAGGGCTCCTGCCCACGCTACTGGCTGGTTTCCTGAAGTGGGTGCAGCTCCTCAATCTTGGCCCCAGCTCCAAGCCCTGGGTCTGGGCCCTGTGCTCTGTGTGCAAGTGCAGCCCCACCTGGGGCCTAGCTCCACCTCAGGGCCCCTCTCTGCCCAACCACATTGCTCTCCTGGCGGGCTGCTCCCCTACCAGCAGGTGATGTGGCCTGTTCCCATTGCAGTGGCCCCAGGGGGCTGTGTGCCTCCTCCTCAAGCCCTCCCTGCAGTGGCCAGTGTGATGGCAGCAGCCTCTTGAGGCAGTGCCCAGCTGCCATCAGTACTGGTACAAAAACAGACACATAGATTAATGGAACAGAATAGAGAACCCAGAAACAGAGCCACACACCTACAATCATATGATCTTTGACAAAACTGACAAAAGCCAGCAATGGGGAAAGATTCTCTTCAATAAATGGTGCTGGGATAACTGGCTAGCCATATGGAGAAGAATGAAACTGAGTCCCTTCCTTTCAACATACAAAAATTAACTCAAGATAGATTAAAGACTTAAATGTAAGACCTCAAACTGTAAAATTCCTAGAAGAAAAGCTAGACAATACCCTTCTTGACATTGACCTTGGCAAAGAATTTTTGGCTAAATCTCCAAAAGCAATTGCAACAAAAACAAAAATTGATAAGTGGGACCTAATTAAACTCAAGAGCTTCTGTGAAGCAAAATGAACTATCAACAGAGTGAACAGACAGCCTACAGATTGGGGGAAAATCTTCACAAACTGTGCATCTGACAATGGTGAAATATTCAGAATCTATAAGGAATATTTCCATATTTTTAAAACTGAGTTGTTTGCTTTATTATTAGTGAATTTTCAAATTTTTTGAATAGAAGTCTTTCATCAGATAAACTCTTTGCAAATGTTTTCTCCCAACCTGTGGCTTGTCTATAATATTCTTAACAGCCTCCTTGCAAAAGCAGAAGTTTTTCATTTTGATGAAGCCAAAGAAATTGCAGATTTCTGGATTTGTCAATTTGTGAAGCTCTATTTGTCTGGTCCTGTGTCCTGCAATTCTAGTTGACTTGGTCTCCCCTGGATCTTAGCTTTATTCTCTCTACTCAAGGAGTCTAATGGACTCTGCTTTGTTCCTCACTCCCTGCAGTGTGGCCTGGAAACTATCCCAACACAGTGTGCTGAGGAAGTGGTAGGGATTACTTCCCCTATTTCCCAAAAAATCAGTGTCCTTCGTTAGTTTAGGAACAATGTTCAGAAATTGGTTCACATGTGATTTTGGTCTTCAGATTGTTTCAGACAAGAATGTGACTCCAGCCCATGTGGCTCCATCTTAATCAGAAGTAGTAGTTCTCAATCATAAAGTTCCTGAATGTAGGGAACAGGTCTTTCATTATCTGTGTCCTCCACCATATGTAGTAAAATACCTTGCATATACTAAATATTTGTAGAGTAATTGAAATTTGCTTAAAAAGTGTAAACTAAAATAGTGTCACAGCTTCTTTGTGTATCCATAGCATCTTTCTCTTAAAAGTAGAGTACAATGAAATGAAAATTCAGGTTAGTTCAAATCCTGGACTACTAGGAATTTAGTTACTGACGCTTTGGCCATTCACCCTCAAGGCAGATCTTTATAGCTACAGAACATTTTACATTTTTTGTAATTAATGAATAAACATTATTATTTTACTGTACTAAAATCAATAACAAACTTAATAGCCTTTATGCAAAATTGTTTTAATGATAAGAAAATGGTTCTTAGATAAGTTAGAGTATTCTTTTCAACTTTCTTCTGTCAGTAGTTTTCTTTATCTAATTTATTAACTCTTCAGCACGAGAAATACAAGAGTTTCAATGTTTTTTCCTTTTTAAAATTCATAAAGATTCAACCATACTGACCTATTTAATAAATTGAATGACACATAGTTAACATCCTAAAAAGCATATTCTTAACCAATGTTTTATTATTGGGATAAAAGGCAGAAACTATAACTCGGGTTTTTCTTTTTGTCATTTTATTTGAAGGATGGGATGCGTATAAGGCAATACTCAAACTACATGTTGTTTTTCAGTTAAGTTTGTGCAATAAATGGTATGTATTTCCATTACCTAACATAAGGTCTAGTATATAGTAGGTATACAAAATTGATAGTACTATTTATTATTATCAACATGATAATCATTATGAGTATTAGTGTCATTGGCTATACTGATGAGTTGTAGTGATTCTATTTAATTTTTAATATACATTTTGCCTTCATTTTGTGCTGTGGCAGGGCTGGCTATCAGGGCTTTAACTCTTAGAACTGTTCACCTCGTCTCTCAACACATAGCTCTCACACAAGCTGTTTTCTCTGTCTGAAAAACCTGTCTCCCTCTTCTCCTGGTTACTCCTATTCCTCCTTCAGCTCTCAGATTAAGTGTTACTTCTAGAGGGTAACTTTTCAGAGCACCTAGTCTAAGTCATATTTCTTTACTTATACACTCAAGGAATTGTTTTGTTTAATCTTAATTTGGAACAATAGATTCATTCATGGGACTATCTGGTTAATAGCTGTCTTCTCAACTTAACTGCAAGCTCCATGAGAGTACAAGTCTGGGTTTTGTGCACCACAGTGCTTAGCACATAGTAGGTCATCATTAAAGTATTTTCTGATATGCAAGAAATAAAGATGAAGGATAAAAAGATTTTTGATGTAATTCCACACCTCCCAAAAGCTACTCATGCACAAGAAGGCTTGTATTTGTCAGTTTTCTGTAGCTTCTGTAGAAGGACTTGGTGGGTAGGGCTTACTTCTCAGAGCAGCTTTGCAGTCAAGCATGGGGTGCATGTGCTCCCTCTCTTACATCTGAGTTCTTCTGTAAATCCTCCTTATTTGGGTTCTATGATATCTTTCATTTGTTTCCTTATACCTTCACTACCAGTAGTATTTCTTCTCTCTTTGATGCTTACTGGGCTTGGGTATTTGTTTGGATCAATGGGATGTTGGATGTCCAGCAAAACTGGCTTGCCTCATTTGGGACAACGAAGCTACAGAAAATAACTGACAAATACAAGCCTTCTTGTATTGCTCCCTGGCTGACACTGACTGTGTCTCAGTCTCCCTATTCACTGCCTCTCAGATGCACTGCGCTGAGCACTAAAACCAACTCCCAGGCTCCCTTGCCTTTCATCTCTTCTAATTGAAGACCTTGGGTTTGTAATTAAAATTCCCTTCATGTACTCATGTTGTGATTACATAGCATAGACTGATATCTTTTAAAATAATATTGTGCATAATAAAGTGACATGCACATTTTGAAATCTGTTTTAACTCCATAGTATCATCATGATGGCAGTATTTTGTCGCAATAGCACTTAGTAAGATTTTGCTCTTTTAAATCTCAGAAAATGTAGGCACTTTGAAATAGTTGCCCAATTTTTTACTAATCTCTTCCTTCTATTGGTTTATTTGTCATATGGCTGATGTTGAAAACCCTGGAGAGCACATTCTAAACTCAATTCTTGCTTTTTATAAAAGGGCTAGGGTAGGAGATCTTTACTCTGATTGCATTTCATTTTTTATCGTTTATTTTGGAGGAAATAGGGTAGAGCATGGGGTGAGACTTGAACAGCATTGGTAAGTACCAGAAGTTCAAACAATGTTCCTCAAATTGAAATGTGTCAGGCAATAGAAGCTAGTGAATTACTTGCACTTTATTTTGCTTGTGCACTATTTGTTTGAAGGATATTACTTTAACTCTTACTCTGAGTCAAACATGGTAGTGGATGATTAGAGTTTAAAAAGTTAATTCTACCTTTTCTTTTTAAAGCTCACAGCCTAGTTTGGGTGTGGTTAACATGAATTAAGGAGGTGTTTCAGAGTTATCAGTGAACTTTCTAAAGTGCTTTTGTATGCTTTTTAGGGGATGGGCTCTAAAGGGAAGAGAGAACAAGAGGAATTTGGCTTCTTTTATTACATACAAAAGAAATCTTCAACCCCTTCCTCCCCTCCCTGCCAAGGATTAAGAACTGTTGGTCTAAGATAATATAGACAATGCAAATAAAAAAAGAAGGAATCCTACAATAAGTTCTTAAAAGGTGGTGGTTTGTACGAGATGTCCTTTGTGCAGAGAGGAAAGGGACCTTGAAACTTTCTGGGTGAGTCAGGGAAGACATCAGAAAGGAAGGGGAGCAAATCTATCTGTGCCACTTCATGGAGGGAGCAGTCACCTCTCCCATCCCTGTCCTCTCTTCAGTCCATGGAGAGGAGAACTTCACAGAGATGACAGTTCCATCAGGGAAGATCTGAGGTCTAATAGTTCACTCCTTTCCCGACTTACTAATGCTTCCCCATGGTAGAAACCTCTTATTCTTACTGGTTTCATGGTAAATGCCTGACACATACTGAAACATGCTTGCTTATAGGCAGAACAGCTTTGCTTCAAATGCAAAGGAAACAGGCTGAAACGTGCCTCTTGATGATTCATGGGTTATTGCAGTAGGGCAGTGGGCTATCTTCTGTTTCCTGCCCCCATGCAGTGAGCACCCCTGGGCCAGAGCTCAGGGCCTGAAGTCAAAAGCAGAACAGAAGCCTGCTGCTCTCCTGTAGGTTTCATTCTGGTGGCAACTGGGGTCAAGAAGCAGGCTTTCCATGTTCCAGGTTGATGACTGGGTAAGTGTTCTTAATAGTGGAGGACTGAGCAGTGCACATCCCATATTTCACGTCCCACATGTGGGGATAGAGGGAGGAGGCCCAAAGCCTTCCCTTATTTAGTCATTACCATAGTTCCGTGGGTAAACCTGATAATTTTCTTTGGTCTTCATTTAGTTGTGTCTGTTCAACTGATTTTTGCCCAATGGGTAGAAGGTAGGGAGAGATGAGTGATTAGAATCCTAAGCATTGAATAGTTACTTTCTTACATAAAATTTATCACTTATTTCATTGTCCACAGTAAAAATTTATTACTTAAACCTAGTCCCTTGAGATCTGGGCTGTGCTTTCCTCCTCATCAACTGCTCACATCCTCTATTGAGATTCTTTCATGCACCTAATGTTTATGCTTTTATAATTTTGCTGACTTAGACCTCTCTGCTTGGAATATTTTCCATCGCTTATCCTTGCCCCACAAAATCCTTTCTAAGATATGTCTGTGGAAATCTTTACAAAAGAAATATTATGTTTATGATAATAACTACTGCTATCCAAAAGGCATCTCTCCCATGTAGACTTTTTCTGGCTTTCTGCCCACCCCACCAAGTCCAATGACCACTCCAACACTGGTGGATCCATTGCTCCAAGAGCAGACTTCCAATGCATCAATTGTGCACTTTAGTGTACTCACCAATTTACACATCTGCCTTCTCCTTCTTCACTTTACATCTCTACTGTCCCACATAGTAATAGAACAAATACATTATTGAGAGAAAACCGCAAGGCTGAGTATGAATTTGCCATAAGAAAAAGAGGACAGTTTGGGTAAAATAGGAGTATGTATATGAGGGAGAATGATTTGGGTTCAGGAAATGACAGTGATATGTAGCAAATGAAGCTAGAGGTACACAGTGGAAATGTGTTATTAAAGACAAGATAGGTCAGGCTAAGAGGCGTGAAGGCTGATTTATCTTGTAGATGGTGAAGAGTAAATTTTAGGGTGAACAGAATAAGAATCTTATGTATTAAAAAAAATGATGATGATGATGACAACGATGATGGTGATGATAGCTAAGATTTAGTATTCACTTACTAGGTGCTAAACTCTGTGCTAGATTTACTTGCATATCTTCTGTAACCTATCACTATCCCTATGTCCATATAAAACTAGTTTTTATAATCATCCACATTTTGAAATGAAGAAAACAAGGTTTCGGAATATTAAGTAATTTTTTTAAACCACATAGCCAGTTAACAGCAGAACCACGGCTTAATGCAATGTTTCACACTCCAAAAACTGATTACTTTAACCACTTCACTTTACAAAACAATGTGAGAAAAGATAAAGAACACATTTATTTGCATTCTGATAATCTCAGTAACTTGGAACTTCCAGGCTGGCCATGTACATTAACTGTCTTGATTTTATTTTTATTTTTTGTAAAAGAGTACAGATGAAAACTTCCATGAGATATGTGACAAACTTTCACAAAATCAAGGAAAACAATTATGTAATAAATGTTTATGCAAATTTAATTAAAAAAATTTTGATCATCCAGTGATTGAGATATCAGAACTGGTTGTAAGCAAATAAACAAGAGCAGATATTAGACTTTGTGTTTCCTTGCCTACTTGTGCAGCACAATTAGCCATAATTTGTAAAAATCAAAATATGGGGTCAGCATTCATTGTAGTAATAACAATATCTGGAAACTATCCAAATGTTCACCTAAATTAATTAAATAAGTCACAATATTACTGTTAAGCAGAATAATTTAAACCCATTAAAAGATTGCTATAAACCTATAAGTGCTGACTTTTAAAAGTTGAGCATGTGTTATTAAGTGAAAAAAGCAAATCATGCAATGCATGAAAACATGTTTATATTTTGTTATTTTATACAAAGTGTGAGGACAGTGGCTGCCTCTAGTGACACTACAGTTAGAGGCAGGAAATTACTCAGTTTGTTTTATACCATCCTGTACCACTTGATTTTTAAAAATAATGAAGTGTATTCTTTTTGTAATAACAGTTTAAAACTTCCTCTAAGAGAAAAACAAGTTCCTTTGGCATTTTCTGCATTTTAAGACAAAGTATAGAAAGAGGCTGAGAGATCTCTTTAACATCCTGTCCAAGTGTTTCCAGATATTACTGGAGACAAAAGTAATATAAATATTTACAAGCAAAACTCTTATCTTCACAGAGAAAAAGACTACTTTTTGTATGACTCATTTTGAATTATCCAAAGCATAAGCTAAATGTGCAGGCCTTCCATATAACTCACAAAGACATTTTAAAAAGCCATGGGAATGTGTCTTTATTACGATTTTGGAAAAGTGGTATTATTGTGGGAAATCAGAGAATATTCTACAATAGAAATTTAATTTAGTTTTTTTGAAGTAGTAATAAAGTTCTCTGAGAAACTTGGTAGATGGTTTCAAGTTTAAATTTCATATTGAATTTACTGATATATTGAGGTAGACATAAGATTCATACAAAATGAGAGAAACACTTTTCTTACATTTTTATGGCAATTCATTCTTCTTGCAATTACTGAAGCAGAGTTTGTGAATACCCACTTTCTTCAATTAAAAAGAATTATCCTAAATTCGAACTTGGCTAATTAACTAACGTTGGAAGCTGTTTAGGAGGAAAATTTGACTCAGTGCTCTCAATTTCTGACATAGCACCTCCCCTGATTCTCAATTTATGACAATGCTGAAGGGATTCAGTTTTCTCAGACTTCAAATGGAACATATGGTGGTTCCTTTCAAGGATCAAATTAAAATTTCGTGCTCAGTGATGACCCCAGAAAATGATGATGTTTAATTTTTGAATCACTCAATTTATTTTAAGAATATGAAAAAACATCACATTGCTTCTTGGCCACAATTGTTTAGTTATTTCTTGAGATTCATCTGACTTTCTGATATGGAGGAAGCATAAATTGATTCTGCAGTTTACCCATAATCTCCTACTATTGTCAGATGGCAGAAACTTCTGGAAGCTCAGAGAACAATGAAACAGTGAACATTTATTTAGTCTTCTTAAAAAAACAATGCTAAGATTTTTTTATTTTCTCATTAAATTCATACAACAAATCTACCAAATGCTGTTATCCTCAATGCACATTGTTGTAGACTCTATTTCCTTCTCCAAAGTGTGGCCAACAATTGGAACTTAAGGCATATCTGTTGAATGAATGAGTGTATGAATCAATGAATGAATTTTTATTATAGCCTTTTGAGTAAAATAAAAGTATCATAACTTCTCTTATCTGATAGGCAAGAAAAGAGCAAAAGTTAAATAATCTGCCCAGAGGGATCCAGTGGTGATGGAGATGGAACTTGAGATCAGATCTCCACATTCTAAGGTTGGGCTCTTTCTGATGTAGCAATCTTTCATTATTTATTCATTCTATCAATCACTTACTTATTTATATGCATAAATTGGGGGCCTTCTACCTATCAAGCATTATTCTAGAAGCTAAAGATATACAAAGGTTATAATGACAAAAACATCCTCCTGTGATCTCAGCCACTCATGCTGTATTTATGACAGAGACACTTAGGCCTTGCAAATATTCCATATGCTCCCCTACATTCTCAACTCCCTTCATAATTTGGTGAGTGGCTCATGACTAGTTATGGCCAGTAGGCTGAGAGTAGAGGTGATGTGTGTCCAAGCCAAGGCAATTAAAAGCTGGTGCATGTTCTTCAACTGAGTTGTCTCCAACTCAGTCTTCACCTATATAACAATGTCCATATTCAGGTATTGAGATAGCATGTCACAGGAATGGAAAGCCTTTATCACTATCTTTGATGAAGGAGAGTCCTCATTGACCCATAGTGGACTTGCATGAGCAAGTTCTAAGTAAATAATATTTAATAATTCATTTGTTAGTATAGTATAACCTAGATTATCTAATTAAACACACATATTTAAAAGTTTTCTATGTTTTCTTCAAAAAGTTATTTTCTTACTGTTGTACTTCTAGATAATGCTAGCAAAGGAATAACTTAGTAGACTTTTTGTTCTGTTCATTGGTTATTTTTAAAACTATTGCTTTATTTATAGGTGTATGCCTAACTAGGAGGTACTAAAAGACAATTTAAGAGAATTTAAGAAATGGGGAAGCAAAGGAAAAACAGAATAAATTGTACAGAATATGATGGAATATATGTTATCATAATAAAGATAAATGGACTATACTTAACCAGTTAAAAGACAGTGATTGCCAATTAGTAATAAAAGAATTACCTATATGTTGTTTAAAAGAGACACATATAAAACATGAAAACAGAGAATGTAAAAAGAAGTTGTAAGAATGAATAAGCTAATAAAAATATATACTAGGACAATACTAACCCAACCAAACCATACCCATACAATTTCACTATTAATGGCATATAATAGATGGAACAGGTAAAAGTTTTAATTAGGGCTATACCGTCTTGAAACCTATAATGACATTTCAGTCAATGATAAACCGCATATATAATGGTAGTTCATAACATTATAATGGAGCCTATGTGGAGGTAGAATACACTGAAATTGATTATTCTGACCCTGTGGAGGCTTAGGCCAATGTATATGTTGATGTTCCAAATTTTCACAAAAAAGTTTAAAAAAAATAAAAAACTTAAAGTATAAAAAAGCTTATATAATAAGAATATAAACAAAAGTATTTTTGCAGCTTTACAATGTGTGTTTTAAGCTAAGTGTTATTACAAGAGTCAAAAAGCTAAAAAAATGAAAAATTTATAAAGTAAAAATGTCACCATCAGCTAAGGTTAATTTATTAATGAGGAATTGTTTCTAAACAAATTTAGTGTAGCTTAAGTAAGTGTGCAGTGTTTACAAAGTCTACAGTAGTATACGGTAATGTCCTAGGGTCTTCACATTTACTCACCACTCACTCACTGACTTTACCCAGAGCAACTTCCAACCACCAGCCCTACCTGCTCTATTCATGGTAAGTGCCCTACAGATGTAGCATTTTTCATCTTTTATACCATATTTGTACTGTATCTTTTCTATGGTTAGATATATTTAGATACACAAATATCATCATGTTATAATTGCTTACAGTATTCAGTACAGTAATATGCTGTATAAGTTTGTAACCTAGAAGCAATAGGCTATACCATATAGTTTGGGTGTGTAGTGGGCTATACCACCTTGGCTTGTGTAAATGCACTCTATGATGTTCACACAATAAAAATCTCCAAAGGACACACTTCTCAGAATGTATCCTCATTGTTAAGTAACACATGACTCTAGATGATCCCAGCTTAATGTTAAAAGGAACAATTCACAAAAAATTTAAATTTTAAACCTGTAAAACACGCCACTATATCTAAAGAAATTTGATAAATTAACTACCATCATGGGAGATTTTTAACACTTCTATCTAATAAAGCAGACAGAAAAATAGGAAGGATACAAACAAAATTTAAACCACAAGATTAATAAGCTGTACTCAACAGTTATCAAAATCTGTATTCTACAATTTGTAGAACATACATTCTTCTCAAGTCCACATGAGGATTAACAAAAATTGACCAGATTTTCATTCTTTAAGAAAAACGCAGCAAATTAATACAAATTAAGATCTATTACCATATTCTCTGAATGCGTCAGAGGCATGTGAACCAGAGCAACTCCATCTTAAACAGGAGCTGGGTAAAATGAGGCTCAGACCTGCTGGGCTTCATTCCCAGGCAGTGAAGGCATTCTAAGTCACAGGATGAGATAGGAGGTCAGCATGAAATACGGGTCCAAAGGCCTGGCTGATAAAACAGGTTGCAGTAAAGAAACTGGTTAAAACCCGCCAAAACCAAGATGGCGATGAGAGTGACCTCTGGTTGTCCTCACTGCTGTACTCCCATCAGCGCCATGACAGTTTACAAATGCCATGGCAATGTCAAGAACTTACCCTATATGGTCTAAAAAGGGGAGGCATGAATAATCCACCCCTTGTTTACCATGTCATCAAGAAATAACCATAAAAAAGGGCAACCAGCAGCCCTTGGGGCTGGTCTGTGGAGTAGCCATTCTCTTATTCCTTTACTTTCTTAATAAACTTGCTTTCACTTTACTCTATGGACTTGCCCTGAATTCTTTCTTACACAAGATCCAAGAATCCTCTCTTGGGGTCTGGATTGGACTCCTTACTTGTAACAAATGCAATCACATTAAATTTTAAATATTCAACCAACAATTATTAATATTAAAAATTACATACGTAAACATCAAAACAGGCTCTGAAATTATATGTAGGTCAAATAAGAAATCATAATGGCAATTAGAAAATGCTTAAGACAATGAAAATGAAAACACTAAATAGCTTGTAGGATACAACTAAAGCAGTATTTAGATGAAAATTTATAGTTATAAATGCTGATGTAAAAAAAGAATGGCTGAAAAGTAATAAATGTTCAATTTAAAATTTTGAATAATAAAAATAGAGAAAATATAAAAACAAAAGAACATAAAGGTACAAAAATTAATAGAAAACAAAAAATGATGGAACAAACAACAAAGACAAAAGATATGTTTTAAGAAGGCAAATAATAGGCAAAATGCTGGCAAGATTGGTTATGAAACAGAAAGCACAAATGAACAAAATTATATCTAAAAAGGAGAATATAACCTTGGATAGAACAAAGATTTACTTCTGAAAAATTAGAGATTATTATTAACAACGTAATGCCATTAAATTTCTTTTTTAATTTCCAACTTTTTTTTATTATTATTATACTTTAAGTTCTAGGGTACATGTGCACAACATGCAGGTTTGTTACATATGTATACACGCGCCATGTTGGTGTGCTGCACCCATTAACTCGTCATTTACATTACATATATCTCCTAATGCTGTCCCTTCCCGCTCCCCCCACCCCATGACAGACCCCGGTGTGCGATGTTCCCCTTCCCGTGTCCCGTGTTCTTATTGTTCAATTCCCACCTATGAGTGAGAACATACGGTGTTTGGTTTTTGTCCTTGCGATAGTTTGCTGAGAATGATGGTTTCCAGCTTCATCCATGTCCCTGCAAAGGACATGAACTCATCTTTTTTCATGACTGCATAGTATTCCATGGTGTATATGTGCCACATTTTCTTAATTTAATTCCCAACTTTTATTTTAAGTTTGGGGGCATATATGCAGGATGGGCAGTTTTGTTACATATGTAAACATGTAGTGCTATTAAAATTTCAAATCATAGGTGAAACAATATTTTCAGAAAACTGTAACTTTAAACAAATTCAAAGGAAAATTGAAAATATGAATAAGCCTGTGTATATTAAGGTAAATTGCACTCACTATTAAAAATACACAAACATTTCTATATCCAGATAAGAGAATTATATCAAACATTCGAGGAACAAAAAATACTTACCTTGCCTTGTACAGTTGTAGAAAATAGAGATAGATAAAATAGCTTCTATCTTATTTAAAATGATTGATATGATCTTGATTTTAAAACCAGAGAATGTACAAGGAAAGAAAATAATAGGCAGTGTTGCTTAAAGAGTAGCAACATAAAAATTTGAAAAAAAAATTAACCAACATTCAACAGCACATTGAAATATATCTTATGATTTATTCATATTTATCCTTTGAGTAAGAGAAAGGTTTATCATTAGACACACTATTAATGTAAATATAATTGACCAGTTTAATGAATTGAGAGATAAAACATAAATTATTTAAGAGATATAAAAGTCTATCACAATACAATATCAATAGTGCTTCTTAGGACTAAGTACAGGATGCTATGGAAGCACAGAGAGAACATGATATATCTAGTCTCCTAAGATTTAGAAAATATTTTCTAGAACAAGTAGTATTAATTCTGAGACTTAAAGGATTTTAATAAGATTTAGCTGGGCTTTAGGTTCTCAGGTTGCACTGGAGGCAAAAGGATGGCTTAAGGAATAGAGATGGAGGGAGATGTGGGAAGCAAAGGTCACCAAGTTTAAGGACAAAGTCTGAAAGGCAAAAGAAATTTTGATACATTAAACAAGTAGGTAAATACCAGAAATGGTTGAGCATGGTCAGAGATAGGAACAAAATGAAGTAAGTAATGAAAGATGAGGTTGGTAAACAGTAGAGACCAGAACAGAAGGGATCTTCCAAGCTATGTTAAGAAGTATAGATTTCACTCTTCCAGAAAAGAATTAAGGAATTAAGTAGTGTGTGTATGATCAAATCATTACTCTGACAGTGTAGACAGTGGATTACAAGCAGAGAAAATTACAGATGAGAAGATAAAGGCAGCAGCTATCATCCAGGTGAGGGATTAGGATGACATAAATATGGAAGTAATAGCAAGGATGGAGAGAATGAATATATCCCACTGACACTTGGAGGATGGTTGATGGCATAGACCATGAGTGTGCAGAATGTCATTTGAAAGTGCTCTTGGGATCAATGTCTGAGGGGAAAGAGAAGGAAGCAGAACTATGGAGAGGGAGAAATGGGGTTGTAATGAAGACATAAGGCATTCACTGGGAGCTCTGGAGCTAGGACGGTCCGGTAGAGTTGTCTAGAGTTGGGCCTTTAAATTCTCCAAGAACTAGTCACTGGGCATGCGCTGTACTCTTGGATGAGGTAGTGCTCTAGGGTTGGGGAAATCCCGGAGAGGGCAGATGGCTGCAAGCTCTCAGCTGGCAGCATTCTTACCACTTGGAGAAATATGCACTTAAGTCCTGAAGGGCAGTCTGGGCAGTACAGACAGCAGAGTGTTTGCTGTTATTCAATATTGACAGTAAGGGAGTGGGAGCGGTGAAATGTAGCTTTAAATTTCTGGCTGAGGCATTTGGTGGATATTAATTCTATCCAGAGAGATAGGGGACATGGATGAAACTGTAAAGTTGGGTGAAGAAGGAACTGGCTCAGTTTAGGTCATGTGGAGTTTGATTCATACAGATGGAGATTCACACTGGCAGTTAAATTTGTAAAGCTTGATATAAGTATAAAGATTTGCACTGTGCGTATGTGTATGTGTGTGTGTGCATGCATGAATTTGTAAGTGTCATTTAGAAAAGGGCAGTTGCTCACATATGGAATAATTTTGTATAAATTAGAAAAAGCCCTCCTCTAGGTAAATACTGGCCCTGGAGTACACATCCTGGCAAGCAGAACACAGACTGAATCTCTGCCAGCACTCTCTCTCTCTTGGCCTAGCACTTTCGGGCAGTGTACAGACTGCACAGCCTTACTCAGCGGCCATGACTTAAATGACAAGTGAAGTCATAGGAATGAAATACATTGTCTAAAAAGATTAGTGAGGTGAGAAGGGATGTCTTCTGAAAGATGCCTAAGGAAAACCAATATTTAAGAAGTAAAAAAAAAAGGTGTTGCCCACAAAAATATTTGGAAAGACCAGTTAGGGAGGTTGGGGAAAATGTGTTATTCATACTAAAATTTTAAAACCCTAATATTCAAGAAAGAGTTTGAACAGTGTCAAAAGCTGCAGAGAAGGCCAGTAAAATAAGACTGTGAGATATTCCCATTGAATTTATCAATGTGATGCTAATAAAAACTGATTAAATACATTAGCGCTAAAACCCTTTTCATCACCATTTATTATTTGTGGATTAAGAATCCCTTAGGGACTTAACAGGCTAGCCTCAGAGTCATCAATATGAATATCACTTGTCAGGCACTGGCCATGTTGAAATGCACAGTCAAATAAAGATATATTAACATAGACTATGCAATTATCGGATGACTGAGTCTGAATAGTAGCTATCATTTATCTGGCTTTCTTTGTATGTTAGACACTCTACATAGCACCTTAATTAAACCTCGAAACCACCCTATGAGGTAGATATCATTATACTGATTTTACAGATGAGAAATATGAGATTTCAGAGTTGTGAGTTACTTGTCAAAGATGCATAGTGATAAGTCGATGAATTAAGATTCTGCTCCACATCTGAATATTCCATGGCCCGTGTCTCTTCCTCTGTCATTGTGCCTGCAGAATCCTAAGATTGTGTTTAAAGCACACCTTACCCTATAATATTCAATTCCTGAATTCCTGAGTATCAAGCAGTACTAGCAAATATCTGCAGGGGCTTTTTAATTTAATTTAATTTTTTAATTTTTTAAATTATATGGCCTCCTGCCATGGAAGCCTGAAGTGACCCCTGGCAGATGAATGCCACATTCCCCATCAATCCAAATGCAATATAAACACAACTCAGGCTTGTTTTACAATGCAGACCCTGCCAGGCAGTATAAGTAGTGGTGTTTATTTTCACAACTGCAGTGATTATTGTCCTTAAATCAAGAATGTGTTATTGGTCTATATATCAAAGGTTGAATTTTAAATTACTGATCTACCAAGTTAGAAATCAAGAAGAACAAACAGCACCTTAAAATGCTGTAAATTTTTCACTACAACCAAATTCTTCATGAACACTCGACCTTAACTTTTCTCTCCAACCTATTATCTGTACTAGGGACAGGTCCTAAATTTATTAATATGATGTATGGGGAGACTATTTAAGTCTCCAGCTCCTGTTATCCTGGAGAAAGATTCTAGCATTGACCTATCAGACAATTACATGAGTAGATAAATGCCCTTTTATTCCTTAAACTAGTTCAAAACAGATAATTACTTTTTTCATTTTAAATGTGCATTCTTTTAAAAAGTCAGTTATTCTTATGTCACTGACTATTGTATATTTCAATAGTATTTCATAGTTTAGAATTATGCTTCTATATGCAATTATTTGTTTTAATATTTACCATAACCTTAACTATGTACTTTTCTTATATTTAAATTAAACATGGTTAGTCCCAAAAAACACAGAGAGTTCAATGAAGTAATATACCACAGTCACAGATTTCTTAAAGTTATTTAAATAAATCTTTTCCTAGGAAGACTGAATATTAAAAACTATCTTCTTGTATAGAAAAGGGTATACAAGATGCTACATTTTATATAAGAAACGATAAAATGTAAGTATAGTTACATGTATTTGATTATTTTGCAAAAGAAACACTGGAAAAAATAAGCCAGAAACCAATAAAAACCATTACTTTTATGAGCAAAGTGGTGATGGTAGTGGTGGTATGGGAAAAAAAAATGGATGGAGAGGTTAGGTTTGAAAAAAGGACATCTCAATGCATGCACCTTTTTGTATAATTTTTAGTTTTGAGTCACGTAAATGTTTTAAAATAAACATTTAGTGATATAAATATCCCTCTAAGAACTGCTTTAGCTGCATGCCACAAATTTTGATATGTTTTTAAATTTCATTTATAATATTTAAAAATTTCCCTGTTAACTTCTTTTTGAACCTATGAATTATTTAGAATTGTCTTATTTAATTTCTAAATATTTTGGAATTTCCCAGCTATGTTTCTGTTTTTATTTCCAGTTTAATTTCATTGTGACTCAAGAAAATATATAGTCTCTATTCTTTTACACTTGTTGAATTGTTTTATGATTCAGATTAAGTCTTTCTTGGAGAAGATTCCATGCACGCTTGAGAAGAATGTATATTCTACTATTGTTGGATTGGAGTGTTCTATAAATATCAGTTAGGTCAAACTGATTGATAGTTTGTCTATAACCTTACTTTATTTCTACTTGTTCTATAAATTATTGAGAGAGCAAGTTTGAACTCTAATTTTAGAGATCTGTACTTCTTTTTAAAATCAGTTTTTGAAGTTCAGCTATTAGAAGTATACACATTTAGGATTATGTCTTCTTGGAAAATTGACGCATTTGTGGCTATGTAATGAGTTTTTTATCTCTAATATTTCTTATTGTGGATTCTATGTTTTCTGAAATTAATAGAATTATACCAGCTTTCTTTTGATTAATATTTTCATGGCATATCTTTCTTCATTTGCAAAAGTTGTAGAGATAGGTGATTTAAAAATTAACAAGTTAGGCTATTGAAATATAAATCACTCTTGTAACTCTGGAATCATCTGAAGTTTTCAGAATTAAATTGATTAGGAATGTTTTTAAGTATGTGAGCTTTTAAGAAGACTGCCATCCTCCTGGGTGTATAT
The DNA here is from genome assembly GCF_000001405.40 of Homo sapiens. Taxonomy (NCBI): domain Eukaryota; kingdom Metazoa; phylum Chordata; class Mammalia; order Primates; family Hominidae; genus Homo; species Homo sapiens. The sequence continues at coordinate 18,349,421 of NC_000002.12, forward strand.
AATGTAAATGAACATGGGATGACAGATAACATTGATAAAATTGCCAGATTTGCTGGGACAGAGAAAGAGTGTCACAGAGAATGTACAGATATCTCATAAGCCTTCATTCAGAGAATCACTGTTCAGTCAGTGGTATTTGAAATCTACTGTGTGCCAGGCACCATTCTAAATGATGCAGATACAGCAGTGAATAACACAAACACAAATTCCTTTCCTCACGGAACTAGCAGTACATTCAAACAGGCTAGCCTCAGAGTAATCAGTAGAAATACCACTTGTCAGGCACTGACCATGTTGAAATGCAAAGTCCAATAAAGATATATTAACAGAGACTATGCAATTATTGGATGATTGGGTCTGAATAGTAGCTATCATTTATCTGGTTTTCTCTGTATGTTAGACAGTCTACATAGCACCATAATTAAATCTCAAAACCACCTATGAGGTAGCTATTATTATGCTGATTTCACAGATGAAAAATTTGAGATTTCAGAGTTGTTGAGTTACTTGTCAAAGATGGTAAGTGGATGAATTAAAATTCTGCTCCAAATCTCAGCACACCAAACACGACATTCAAACAGGAAGTCTAGCTATGTTGTGATGCAGGACTGGAGTCTTCACTCTTCTACTCTGTCTGGGTACCTGGTACCAGTCTTGATAGAGTCAATGGGGGCCATTCATAGGTAAGTGGATCCAATTAGGTTATTTAAATGGATTATTTGACTTGGAACATTTGGATGCAACACCGGGATTTTTAGAGTCCTGCTTTGGAAAAGAAACTACAGTTCACAAAAATGTAACTATATGCCATACAAACTGTTGGTATATGGTGGAACTCTGATGTTAATTTTCAGTCCATCTTAGCTCAAGACCTTTAAGCTGCTCGGGTGATGGGCGCACCAAAATCTCACAAATCATCACTAAAGAACCTACTCATGTCACTGAACACCATATGTACCCCAATAACCTATGGAAAAATGATTTTTAATAAAAGAATCTTGCTGTGTGTGACTGCTATAATCCAGCTAAGGTTTATTTCTAGTGTCATCTGGTATTTGCTAATCTTCTTCATGCTGTTTTTGTTTTGCATCATTCTATATTAAGTTGTTTCCTGATTGCATGAGGGACATTATTACTGATTTTTAAAAACTTTAATCCTTCATCTGTAATAGCCCGAAGTTAATGTGTTAGATAAATGCTCCCTGTCAACTGTTTTTAAAGGAGGCTTTTATTCACTCCAATGTGCTCTGAAAAGATGTCTTCTGCTAGTTACTTTTATTTTATAAATATTAGCTTTGTCTTTTACTGACTGTTTTCCTTTTTCTTTTTAACTTTTAAGTTCAGGGGTAAAAGTGTGGGTTTGTTACATAGGTAAACTTGTGTCTTGGGAATTGTACAGATTATTTCCTCACCCAGGTATTAAGCTTAGTGCCCATTAGTTATTTTTCCTGATCCTCTCCCTCCTCCCACCATCCACCCTCTGAAAGGCCCCTGTGTGTGGAGTTCCCCTCTATGGGTTCATGTGTTCTCATCATTTAGCTCCTATTTATAAGTGAGAACATGTAGTATTTGGTTTTCTGTTTCTGTGTTAGTTTGCTAAGGTTAGTGGCCTCCGGCTCCATCCATTTTCCTGCAAAGGACATGATCATGTTCTTTTTTATGGCTGCATAGTATTCTATGGTATAAATGTACCACATTTTCTTTATTCATTATTGACTGCTCTTCACCCTACTGTCTCTTCTTAGTCTTTATTGCATATGTTTTCCTGTTTCCTCCTGATGACCTGTAAAAGTACTTACATCACATATGTTTTGGGTCTCATTGGGAGATAAACTGGTTTTGGAATAGATTTGTGTATGCATATATGCATTAGTGTTTTTCCCCATGCTTTTCATTTGCTTGTAGTGGGCAAATATATTAATATTTATGGGAAACAAAAGAGAGAAAAAACTCATTACAACCCCAGTCTCATCAAATTAAACTGTTTTCACATTTCCATGTCCTCTTTCAGTCAGTGTTCTTTCTCCATGTCTATATTATTCTATCCTTCCATTATTTTATTGAGCACTAGCTCTGTGCTGGGCACCAGGGTGCCACAGCTGAACATACTTGGTCTTGCCTTGATGAGCTCAAAGTCTATTATGAGAGACAAATAGTTAAACAAGCAATTTAAATACATTGTGTGTCAGGATACCTAAAACAGTCTTGATTGGCTAGGCATGGCTTTCAATATGATATAGTGTCTGTCTCAAGACCTGAAGGGGAAATAGACATTATTCCAGAAGAAGGGGTGAGAGAGGAGACCTCTATGAGGCTTAAATGACTCAGAATAATTGGTTTTTAAAGTGTGTTTGTGGAGTCCAGATAAGGTGAAAGGAATGGTGCAGCACATAGTGAGAATGAAGCTCTCTAGGTAGGCCAGGTTTCTTGGGAGCATCTAAGATTTCTTTCGCTAGTGTTTTGTTTTGGTTTTTCTTTCACTGTTTAATAATTTTTTTAAATTATACTTTAAGTTCTGGGATATAGGTACAGAATGTGCATGTTTGGTACATAGGTACATATGTGCCATGGTGGTTTGCTGCACTCATCAACCCATCGTCTACATTAGGTATTTCTCCTGATGTGTTTTACACATTATTCCTGAAGCTATTTCTAAGTATTTTAATTTTTGCAATCAACAGAAAAAACTGGGATTTTTTCTGACATTTTCTGTTTTGCTGTTTATATAAAAGGCTGCCAATTCCTCTATATTAATTTTGTATCTGGTCAATTACTGAATTATTTTGTTTGTAGTAGTTTTCAATTGATTCTCTCAGAGTTTTCAGATACCTAATCATGATATCTGTAAATAAGAATAATTTTACCACCTCCTCTTCAATTTTTATATTTTTAATGTATTTATCTTGTCTGATCATGTTGGGTAAAACCCCTAGGACAATGTTAAATAATAATGAACAAATTAAATAGTAGTAAACATCCCTTGTTTCTGACTTTCTGCCTTCTCTCTTCCACCCCACAATTTGAGTATATTATCACCCCAGTGTTCACTTTTATACTGTTAGCTATACTTAGACTCCAATTGCTTGATTCTTGGCTTACATTCTATTTTTATATTTTTTCCTATTCATCTATTAGTTAAATTAAGCTAGTCATCTAGGATTTTCCTTGAGGACTAATGGAAATAATTCTCTGATGTGTTTCATGTTTAAAAACAGTCGTGTGGGGCAGGGCGCAGTGGCTCATGCCTGTAATCCCAGCAATTTGGGAGGCCGAGGCAGGTGAATCACTTGAGGTCAGGAGTTTGAGATCATCCTGGCCAACATGGTGAAACCCTGTCTCTACTAAAAATACAAAAATTAGCTGGGTGTGGTGGCACGTGCCTTTAGTCCCAGCTACTCAGGAGGCTGAGGCAGGAGAATCACTTGAACCCAGGAGGCGGAGGTTGCAGAGAGCCGAGATCGCGCCACTGCACTCCAGCCTAGGAGATGCAGCGAAACTCTGTCTCAAAAAACAAAAACAAAAACATTTATATTTTGCTTTTATACTTGAATACAGTTTGGCTGGATATAACATTTTTATGTTGTACATCTTTTTCTTGAATATTTTAAATGTATTGCTTCTTCTAGTGATGAATGATGACTAATATTTTAAAGAGAAACTGATCTATATCACTAAAGAGAGAGAGAAAGATAAAAGAACAAAAGAGCCATAAAAAACAGGCAATAAGTCTTCAACATAGACCCTACGTGGTTATACAGGTTAGGACTTTACAATGCGTAACTAGACATATTTCCCTACATGGTTATACAGGTTAGGACTTTACAATGTGTAACTAGAGCCTCTTAAGAAGAAAACTCAAATGAATAAGCAGAACAGGTTTTTAAAATTACAGTTCAAAACATGTCAATGTCTAGAGATTTAAAAGATGTATAAGTTCAAGGAAAGACTGACTCAATAGTCAACACCAAGAAATATATATACATACATATATATATGTATATATATATACTTATGTATTTAAATTTATATTAAATTTTTCCTTCATTTATGTTTTTCACTCCTCCTTCTTGATGCGTGCGGCTCATGTTTTATCTCTTTTTGTTGTATCATTATCTATTCCCCAATGTGTACTTTGTTTTGTACATTTTTAAAATAGCTTCATTAAATTTTCTCTTTTTTAAAATTTGTGAATATTGATCAGTGTCTTTAACTACAGAAAATAATTTGTACTAGATGATTAAAGCAAAAGGGGTTTGTTAAAGAGTATTTGGTAACTCACAAACTCTCCTAAGGAGCTAGTGAACTAGGCTTGAACACTACACATTGCCAGGGGCAATGCAGCTGGGACAATGCCCAAACACATATCCCCAGTGTCCTAGCAGGAATGGTTTGCTGCTATCACCCATACTCAGCACCCAGGGCAATGAAGACTATGAACTAGAATCTCCACTCCGGTGCCCCAGAACCAGTGCCCTCCATCCACGTGCTTGCCAGAAGACCAGTGCTCCATATGTGGATTCCACTGTTTCTTTTTTTTCCAAATCTCAGGTGGTGATTTTCCTCAGTGGATCTTTGTCATAGGCAAAACGTGAGCTACAAGTCTGAGAAATTATACTGTGTGGTTTCTTAGCCAGCCAGAAAAGCTAGAAGGGAATAAGAGTGAATACTGATTTAGCCAATTTATGATATCAGCCACATTCTAATAAAATGTTTGATCACAATTTTTATCTCTGTGGCTATATTTTTCTGGTGGATGTTTTCTATATATCATGTGCTTTCTCTGTTTCTTTCATCTTTTTGTTGTTTTATTTATCTATAGCACTTATTATGGTTCCATATGTATCTTAAGCAGTTGACTCTTTACTGGACCAGCTACTTGGACAACCTGCTTATGGTGAAGAAACAGAGAAGTACTCCAGGTTAACCAAAATTTTCTTAGGGCCCACTGTTTGTGAGTTCTTTTAGCTTTTATTTCCTTCCACTCATTAGAGACAGGCATCTGTAGAACTGTTCAAAATGTAAAGTTCCTCTTTTACCTTGTGCCTCTTGTGTGATTTCTCATTTAGTTCTACCACCTGTTTCTTGATGAAGCAGCACCAGCAGCACTCCCGTTGCTGGATTTGCACCTGGGGACCAGGCTATGCATCCCAGCAAAGTGTCCTGTGATGGCTCTTTCCAAGATATGCTATCAAGGGTTTCACCTTTCTGCTTTCTCCCACAGCCCTGTTCAATACTCGATTGCTTTTGGCACAGTTTTGCCTATTTTGTTGTTATAACTATCTGCTATTTCCATTAAATATGTGCTTTATGGCTTTCTTTTCATTCTCCATTTTTGATTTTATGTGACGTATGGAAAGTAAGGGAAAAGGCTGATTTTACACCAACATTTTCCAAACCTACTCCCTTCCTAACACACTTTCTTCCCTCTCCTCTGTGTCTTCACTTGCTGCTGGCTGCTGCTTCTCAGTCACTTTTGATAGATTTTATGTATTTTTCTAAACTCTAACTGCTGTGATAGTCCCGGATTCAGTCCTTGGAATTTTTCTTCATCTTTGTTCACATGGGGTTCTGGGGTTTGATATGTGCTGATAACTCCCAAATTTGCATCTGCTTTCTCAGCCTCTTCATTGAGCCCCCGATTCACACACCCATCTACCTATTCAACATTGTCAATTATTTATCATGTCCAAAGGTAAGCTGAACCCTACCCAACTTAGAGCAATTTTACCTAGTTGCTCAGGCTCAACCTTAGAATCATCCTTGAATCCTCTATCTTTTTTTCCCCATTCCATGTCAATGCTATTAGCCAATTTTGTCAGTTCCAGCTTCAACATAGATCTGGAATTCTACCACTTCTCACTGTTTCCACACATAAATGTAGTTTGTGTCAATCTAACATAATTTCTCCTTTGGCCACTATAATAATCTCCTCTGTGAGTTCCCTTTTTCCATTCTGCTCTGCTATGGTCTATTTTCCACACAGCAGGCAAAGCAATTCATTAACATACATCAAAATATATGATTTTTTTTGCTATAATGGCTTCCCATCACATGTAGAAAATAAATCCAAGCCACTGGCCTCTAATGCCCTTCACAACCTGTCATCTCTTTCGTTGAGTCATATTCTGCTACTCTCTACAGCTCATGCTGGCCTCCTTGCTATTGCTTAAAGAACCACACGTATTCCTGTCTCAGGTCTTTTGCACTTGCTGTTCCTTCAGCCTGGAGCAGTTTTCTCCCAAGCATTAGCCTTGCTGTCTCCTCCACTTCCATCAATATCAAATTTATTATATTTATAGGGAACTTCTCTATCCATTCTGTATAAACATGTACCCTGATCAGGCTCTAACCCTTAAATTACCTTGTTTTTTTTTTTTTCTAGTGCCTGTCAAAAAGTTGGGTTTCAGTACAATATTGAAACAATAAATGAATAAATATGCAGGCCTTGTGTTTCTTACCTATGAAATCTGATGATAGAGTGTTGTGCAGATCTTGGATTCTTTTTATCTTTATTTTAAAGAGTTGGCCACCTGGACCAAAAGCCTTTTTTGAATGCTAAGATATTTGGCTAAAAGTGTAGGACATTGGCAGTTGCCCTTTCATTTGGCATCTGTGAATGGCTGCACCAGAATTAGAACCCAGTGATTTAGTGGCGCTTACATGTTTATCCACTGTTCCATCCTGCCGGCATCCTTGAAGCATCAACATCTCTTGCTTGGACTGTTTTAGTAGCATACCTTAACACCTTATGTCCATCTGGCCTCCTGAATCCCATCCTACACCCTGATATAGTGATCTTTCTAACATGCAAATCTTGTCATGTTCACCTTATTCCTTAAAACCCCAATTTAGAACTCATCCCATCAAGAAGAGAATCCAACCATAGCGTAGAAAGCCTGAATTCCCATGACCTGGGTTTCACAATCTGCCTCTCCTGCCAATCCCACTACACCTTTGGGGTGTTGACAACCTTACCAAACTTGGTACGTTTTGCCATGCATGCATACACTTTCCCTCTCATTCTTTCTTCTCAGGGGACTCACATTTGATGTTCCTTCTGACTCTTTCTTTCTTTCCATTTGTATCCCACCCACTCCTCCACTTATTATCTAAATCCCACCCTGCCTGGAAGACTTGGCTTAGACACTGTCCCTTCCAGGAAGCCTTCCCTGAATGTTCTTCTACTCCCACATACAGCACACATTGAAAGAGAGAAAGGGAGAGAGAGAAAGAGAGGGAAAAAACCACAATAAACAAGAGAAAAATAGAGAATGGTAAGAGAAGAAAAGAGAGGAGGGAAAACTAGAAAGTAAAATGAAAAGTGGGAAAAGGAAACAGAATGAAGAAAAAAAAGACAGGAAAAACTAAACATGGCTAATGTGGTCTCAGAGACTGCCCCTGGATTTTATACAGCTTGAGAAATGACTCATCTCTGAGCAAGGAACCTTTGTGCCTGTGATGTCTTCCTAGGTTGTGAGCTCCGTGGAGACTGTGCCTTCCTATTGACAACTCTATGGCAGCAGTGCTTGCACACACTCAGCTATGTTAATATTTCCTGACTGAAAGGATAAGTAAACTACCATCGGAGGGATCAGAGAGAGGAAAGCATGACTTCTTTTGGGGAAGAAGCAGGGGATGGTTGTGAAAGGGTTTTTAGAGGAAGGGGCATTTTAGCTGAGACTTGAAATATTTGCAGGAGTTTGCTAAGTGTGCATGAGGAACATTTTTGGATGGAAAGGAGGATGTAATTATGATAAATGTTAGCATTTTATAGCACTACCATGGTACAGGTACTCTCCAAAGTACTTTTTGATGAATTCTCTGATTAAATCCTTACAATAAACCAGGAAGATATGCTTCATTACAGTTAGCATTTTGCAGATTAAGGAACAGAGGCAAGGAGAGGTTCCCTAATGTGCTCAAGGTCACAGAGCTAGGAAGTGGTGATGGAGACTTCTAACCCTGATGGCTGCTCCAGGGCCACACTTTATTTCATGTCTCTGTTATGCCTTTTCTGAGAGTGAAGCACTTTATGCAGAGTGCTGACCCAAAGGTGTGGTAGTGAATGGAAAGTTTGGGGTCTGTTGTTGAGGAAATCAGACTTCTAACCTTAAATTTATTTTCAGGCCAGTGTTATTTCTACTCCTCTATGCTGCCTCCAGCATAGAAATAATATTTGGAAATTAATCAAAGAAAAGACCCAAGCCAATAACGATTATATGAGCAATGTGATTGATATTATTTACTCTAGCTAGATTAAAATGTTCCCTAGGGAAAAAAAAATCTACAAAGACAATATGAGCCATTATATAAAGATATGTAGAGCCACCCAGGTAGTAAAATTGATGTCATAAATTATTTCTGCCTCTGTGGAGAGGGTAAGTCTCCTTGTCAATTTAGCAAGTTTAGAAAACAATGGAATTACAGGGCTCATCGTATCAGATAAAATTCACCTGTTTCCAGAACTTCATGCCCCTCCCAACACCCTTCCTAAGTGCTTTCCTTTCAGGGGCCACCAAACCAAGCCTAAATTGGAGATCTTCAGGGAAATGTGTGGTAAAGAGAAGTAAAGCTACTTTCTCTAACTTTTATAGAACCCTTGATGTTAAACAAAAACAAAACAAAACCACAAAACACTGGAGGAATCTGACCTCAGTCACCAGCCTTTCCCTGGGATCATAACTGTCAAGTTCTTGAGGGGCCTGTGCACATTTATTTATCATTGTATAACCTGCTGCAACTGACCCTGTATCCTTCATCCTAGTGGTCCATTTACCTTCATTTCCTTCACCAATTACCAACCCACCATATGCAAGCCTTTATTTTTTCCACTGAGGCATAATCTCAACGATTTCCCTAGGCCTCAGAATGCATATCTTATCTTCCTGCTCTGCCTCCCATGAGACGTGTGTTTGGAGATGCAGCACCAAGGTATCCATTCATTCACTGGGGCAAGGAAAAGGGCAAGGTCTTTCCAAGTGACAGACCTTGCTTCCAAGCCTGAATTTGCCCCAAACTTGTGCGGCCTTGGACAAGTTAACTCACTTCTCTGAGCCTCCGTTCTCCTATCTACAAAAAGGAGGTAGCAGTTTTTTCCACTTCTACATGATTATTATAAAGATTAGATGAGGCTTCATTGATGCACCAACATGTGTAGACATGCAGTCTCTCTCTCTCTCTCTCTCTATATATATATATATATTTTTTTTTTGGAGACAAAGTCTCACCCTGTGGCCCAGGCTGGAGTGCAGTGGCATGATCTCGGCTCACTGCAACCTTCATCTCCTGGGTTCAAGCAGTTATCCTGTCTCAGCCTCCCAAGTAGCTGAGACTACAGGTGCATGCCACCACCCTCAGCTAATTTTTGTATTTTTAGTAGAGACGGAATTTCACCATATTGGTCAGGCTGGTCCCGAATTCCTGACCTCAGGTGATCCACCTGCCTTGGCCTCCCAAAGTGCTGGGATTACAGGCGTGAGCCATCATGCCCAGCCAACATGCAGTCAACATTGATTGTCTTCATTACTTTAAGATATGTGCATCTTGCATTCACCTAACACATCCCATAGTTAGTGTTGTTTTACTGAAGAAAAAGATAAAATAGGATATGGTGAAATTTTGTGCAAACCTGAGAAATTACTGCTATAATCTGGGTTCTTTCCTTGAGATTTATTCAAAGTATCCAAAAAGAAGAAAATACATACATTGGGAGGAACTTTATTATCCATCGATAAGGCAAAAAAGGCTTATACTCTTTGCCAGTAACTGCAACAATTATTCCCCAAATCATTAAATTATATTGCTGAAAGTCACAGTGAAATGATCCTTAGCTCTGAAGCATAAAAATTCATAAAATTATCACAAAAATTAAAAGGAATCCTTCTTTTCTAGGAAAAAAACTCGTAACTACAAAGTGAGAATATTCCTATCTGGAAGGTATGGTTGTCCTTGCTGTGGAAAGAAAGTTTAATCAGTCTTACTTGGGTTGAAACCATTCAAGGGCACTCCTAGGTGGGTGGGTGATGAGGTGAGGTTGAGAATACAACAGATAAATGGCATCTTGCCCCAAACTCCATCTCCCTTGTCTTCTCTGAGACAGGGCCAACCCAGGTTACCAGGTGGTTGGGACAATGTTCTACTCTGGAATGCTTTTTTCCCAGATTCAATACTACCTGCAGAGAAAGTCATACAAGAACTTCTGTGATGTTTGTATCCAGTGATGTTAGGACATTTCTGAAGTCCCAAGCATGGGTCAGGGCCATGAAAGCTATGTGGCTTGGCTTGTCATCGGTGTTCCTTAATTAGACAGATTTGCTAGAAGATTCTTCGGAGATGAGTTCTCTTGCCCATGCGGTGGGTTGTCTAATTCCAAGTTTAAGTTGGACCATTAATCAATCTATGGCTGGAGACTGTTGTCCATCTCTCTATCTTGTAATTCTTTTTTCATTCCTCTTTCTATACTCTGAGTTTTTCATACCTTAAAAGACAGCTTAGCAAGCAACCATCAAAATGATGAGTATGCAGTGGCTCTATTTAAGTTCACAAGCTATAATTGGAGATATAGGTGGCTATGGGGGAGGTTTGGCCTTTAGGCTTAAATGCCTCAGAGGATGAGGGCCAGTAGACTGACACCTCAGTAAGAGGGAAACATATTGCTCTTGGGCAGATGTAAGCTGTAATCTCAGAATTCTGAGTTACTTCTCTATCCTTTTCATTAAGTACTCGGGAAACCTGAAGACCACAGAAGCAAAGGAAATTGCTAGAGATCCCAGAGTTGGTGGTTGACGTAGCCACTGTTTATTATGTGCCTGCCATATTCATTTTCTGTAATGATTACAAAAATCCTATAGCATGTGGGTAATGGGCCCATTTTTGATAGAGGAAAACTGAGAGACTGTTGGTAAAGAGTACAAGCCCTATAGTCAAGCTGCCTGGCTTTGAATCCCAGCTCTGCTTCTTACTGGCTCTTTGATTTCTGGAATAGTGATTAAGCTCTCAATGTCTCAGTTACTTTTTATGTTTAGTGTCTGTGTACCTACATGTATCCCATAATGTCATGCTGTAATTCTCAAATATTTAATATTCTCAAATAAACAATAAAGTTTATTTGAAGAAAAATAAGTACAATAAAAAAATTAGCCCCCCACCTCCCTGCTTAGTGTTTTTAACACTGCACCAGAGGATGAAAAATGATCAATAAGGTTGGCTATTATCATTGCCCAGTGCCCACAGCCAGTTCGTTTGGGATTTGGGATTCACTTGCACTGGCCAACAGCCATGCTCTTACCTTCCTGCCAGCCTCCCTGAGATCCACCACGTGGCCTGCACCTCCCGCTGCCCAAACGCTGCAGTCTCCTGTCTTCCAAACTATCTCAGCTAATGAGTAGTATAGAAAGTGAAGCTGTTGTCTGTTTTGTATTTTTCTCCATCCTCCCCCCTTTTTACAGGGGAGCGAGAGAGAATGTGGAAGTACTTGTGGAATAAGTTTGAGGAAGGCTTACAATGGGATATTTGGGAAGAGGAGTGGCTTGAGAGTTCAGAAAACCAAAACTTTGAAAAGCAGTGTTACCTTTAGTGATTTCACCAGCACACATGATTGCATCCTCAGCCCTTCAAGTTCAATACTCCCAGAGTTGAACTGGCTTGGAGAGACTGACTCCCTAACAGATCTTATAAGAGACTAATATACAAAAGCAAAAATGACCATTTAGTGGCGTTTAGAAAAGTATGGTTGTTAGTTGTACAAGATGATTTTCTTTTTGGTTTATTTGTTTTGTTTTGTTTTGCTTTTGGTCCTGGCAAGGTTAAATTGCCCCTGGTAATCAAGAGACATAAGAAATCAAATAAAAATCAGATGGTTACATGGAATGTATGAAACTAATTTTCTTATTTAACAAATATTTATTGAGACTTCTTTTTGCCATGCACTGTACAGTATTCTAAAGTTATAGCAGGAAAAGAAGTGTAATAGTAATAATAACTATATGCAAAAGTATGACTTTATATTCTCTGTATGTGATTTCTTATGTTATATATAAATAAGCACTCGCATAGTTATTCTCTGTCAGAAACTAAGTGTTTTGTGATCATTAGCTTTTTTGATTCTCATCACAGCTCTGCGAACTCACTGCTGTCCTCATTCCTAGTTCTCAGATGGGGAACCTGGAGCATAGAGGGGGAAGCCACAGTTTCTTCATTTACAAGGATTACAGTCACCTTGCCAGTGAGTCACAAAAGCAAGCAAGCAGTCCCATCTGATGTGCAAAAGGCAGACGTGAAGGCAGGTGCTGGAGCTGAGAGCACATAGAAGGGGCACCCAGCCCAGGAAAGCGATATTCACAGGAAGAATTGAGGACGGTGTAACAGATCACCTGAGAAGCAGGGAAGGTGAGTACACCATAAAGGAGGCAGGCCTTTGTGCACTGTGGCAGGAGATTATATCCAGAGGGGAAAGCAGGTTGGAATAGATACTGCAGAGTGTGGCAGAGCCAGCCTATTAAGCCCTTTAACCACGTCAGGGTATTCAGATTGCATACTGAACATAATAGGAAACCTATCTGAAGGGATTTAGCAGGAAAGTAACAAGAAATTCATGATTTAGAACGATCTGTCTGGCTGTGGTGCATGGAATTATTGGAAGGGAGATGGGCGGGGGGTGGGCCTGGAAGTACAGACAGAAGTGAGGAAGCTGGTGCGGTGAGAAACACTGGTGGCGTGAAATATGGTGGGGGCAAAGGTGAAGGTAGAAGTGGATACATTTGAGGAATGTAGAAGGCAGAATTGATAAAAGATCAGATAAGTGAACTCATAATATGGAAACTCAGGCAAATTATCTGGAAATGCAATAGCATCAAGCTCTGAAGTGGCCACCTCTGTGTTGGGGGTTTTCCTCCCCGGCAGAGTGGAGATGGCCACAACCATGTTATCTATCTCAAGTCCTTTCTCCTAAGGGCAGTCCCTGGGTGACCTTACTTTTGTTATGCTTTGGAGGCTTACCAGCACCTTCTGATAAAATGTTGGTACCTTTGGAAGTTTTACACCTGGGAGGTATTCTATTTTCTTAAGGTGGCCCTGCATGACTGTGCATAACCCATGGTGTATTGGTTTTGCAGTGTAAGTACCAGAGGTAATCATAATTTTCTCATTACCAAGCTCTTGGGGTCCGCCACATGCCAGTGTCTATGGCACATACTCTCTACATTGTCTTAGTTTCATGGACATCTTGAGGAGCCACAGAATCATCACTGTTCCATGACTATTGCTTGAAATGTCCCTCTGCAAATTACACCCCACCCATTGCCTTCACAATAACCCTGCAATAGGATAGATAAGTGTGGAAGTTGGACAGGGTGGGGGAAATCTAAAAAGTTAAATAATCCCGCTAATGATGTGAACAGTTAGTGGCAAGGGTCACATTTCAAAGCCCTTGCTCATTCCACCACAGTGTATTATGTTGCTTGGCTGAAATCTTTGGGCTGGTCTCCCAACACATCATTTGGTTGAAAGCTATGCACTTACTAAGCTCACATTTATGCATGTAAACATATATATGTATGAGTGTACACACACATATGCACATACTCATACTTGCTTATCTAAGTAAATTCTATGAGAGTGAAGAACATATTTGAATCTATCTCAACCATTGTTGCTCCCTAACACTTAACACAAAGCCTGAAACTAATATTTTGTAATGAGTTATGATATGACAGATGACATCATCCACCTTCCTTACAGAGTTCAAGGTCAATTTTACATGAACGATAGATAGTTTCTATCCTAAAGGAAATCACATGACAAATGTATGAACAACCAGTGCCATGGCTGAGTCTATAGAAATGCTGATGCCACTTTTCTGGGACAATCAGCTCTTCACAGAAATGCACGTCTTCCCATCTCATCCCCCTTATGATGCCCAGCATGTGGTGGGCCTAAAATTGCTGTCCTGTGCATGCACCCATCTTTATTCATCTCCCTCTGCAAGTCCATAGACTCCTAGTCCTTACCTCCCTGCTCTGAATCACAATCTGATGTGCTCCACACAACATTTTCATTTCTGTCTCCCTATTATGACCGGAAAAGGTTACAGGCCCTCAGCTGTCATTCATCCTGTGACAACGCGCTGCCAGGCTCCTGCCTGTCAGTCACCTCCCACAGCCAGGGACATTTATCAGTCTGGATTCTTGAAAGGTTATGGAGACCAATAATAGGAAATGTCTGTTTGCTTTTTACCATAGTAAGAACTATGTCTGGTACAGTTAAAATTTGCAGCCATGACACAGCTCAGCTCACAGAAATCCTAAGGAATCTCAAGAAGTACTTTGAACTAGAAGAAGCTGAATGAAAGGGGGTCATTCCTATGGGTTCGGGGCCTATTGGGAGAGTCCCTGGATGAGGTTCATAGTCCTGAGTTCATGGTCACTTGGTCCTGTAAATGTCAGGGAGCGCGGACATAGCATCAGCCCACAGATCAGGGATCACTGGTTCTAGGCTGACATTCATTCACCTTCAGGTACATTCAGCAAGGTCCCTAACCCTGTTATTCTTCTAATTCCATTTGTAAAATGAGGTGAAGAAGGGTGTGTTTGCAGGATGAGAGAGGCTGGTTAGTGGTTACAAATATACAGTTCGATAGCAGGAATAAGACCTAATTTTTGGTAGCAGAGTTGGGTGACTATAGTTAACAACAATGTATTTTATATTTCAAAATAGCTCAAATGTTTGGAATTTAAAATGTTCCAAACACACGGAAATGATAAATGCACTCAGTGATAGATAGCCTAAATACCCTGACTTGGTCACTACACATTCTATGCATGTAACAAAATATTATATGTGAAACGGGAAAAGTTCCCTTATCCCCCTCACAGGGTGTGTGATGGGGGTGTGGCTCGCTTCTTTGGTGCCCCGCTGCTCAAACCTCTAAGGGGAGCATGCAGATGGGCAGGTTGTGAGGCGTGTGGTCTCCGACCTCATGGCGGCATCTGGAAGTGAATGCTTACAGTTCCTGGGGCGTGTGCACTTTTAGTTTTGCTGTCTGTGGGCAGCTTTGTTAATCAGCTCAGTTTAGACCCTCTGCCTTATCACAAGGACAGAGGGCTGTCCGTATCCCTGGGTTCTTGCCTTAGTGTACTGGAAAAATCGGATCACACGTGGGCTTGGAGAATGAGTTCAAGATTTTATTGAGTGGTGGAAGTAGCTCTCAGCAGATGGATGGGAGCCAGAGGTGGGGTGGTCTTCCCCTGGAGTCGGGGTGGTCTTCCCCTGGAGTCGGGATGCTCAGCAGCGGCTCTTCTCCAACTGTCTTCATCCAAACTTTGCATTGTCCCACCATAGGTGGCCTGCCGGCATCTGCTGGTGACTGCCAGTGTCTCCTGGTGTTTGCCAGTGTGTTCTTCTGCCCCTCTGCTTCTCTCGACATCCAACCACTTATGTGTTCTTCCACTGGTCTGTTCTTCTTGATGTCCAGCTGCTCATGTCTGTGCCTGCTAGGGCCCCAGGATTTTCATAGGCATAGGATGGGGGTGTGGCAGGCCAGGGTGGTCATAGAAAATGCAACACTTGGGCACAAAAACAGCAGTGCCTGTCCAAACCTAGGTCTATGGGCACAGGCCCGGGGGTGGAGCCCTAGCGAGGGAGGGCACCTTTCTCTACTCAGCACTTCCCTGCCCCCCTTCCATATCACAGGTACCCCATCAGTATGTACAAATATTATGTTGCAATAAAAAAAAAAGGGGGTAACACTAGATCTCTAAAGCCCCAGCCAGGGATAACATTCCGCTTTTGATTTCAAAGAACTCACAGGCATGATAAAAAAGAAAGTAGTCCCCCTGTGGTGGGAGTATCAGACCCCGATGTGGTGAATGTGGGGAGGCCTAGAATACAGGTTTAGGTTCATATCAGGGCCTGCTTTAGGTACAAGCTCTGGATAAATGATTTAATCACACACAATTCTATGCACTAAAATATCTGGATAAAAGATTCTATTTCTCCACAGCCCAAATCTTGCAGGGGAATCAGATGAAAGCCATGTGTGATAGCCTGTCACCTAGAGAATGTGGAGGCAGCCATTGCCTTCAGTGCAAGCTGCCAGCAGGACAGATGAATTGCTGCTCTCCTGTCTGTGGTTCTGGGGAAAGTCAATAACTCATGCTCCCAAAGTAAAGGCCAGAGCAGGAGGAGGACGTGTGAAGCATTCATGAGCACATCTATTAGATGTGTGTTATGAACTGAATGTTGGTGCCCACTCGAAATCCTTTTGTTGAAATTTTAACCCCTAGTGTAATGGTGTTTAGAGGTATGGCTTTTAGGAGAAGGTTAAGTCATGAAGACAGAGCCCTCATGAATGGAATGAGTGCCCTTATATTATAACAAAAGACCCTGGAGAGCTCGGTCATGCCCTCCACCATGTGAGGATGCAGTGAAAAGATGTCCAGCTATGAACCAGGAAGTAGGCCCTCATCAGACATCGAATCTGCCAACCCTTTGATCTAGGATTTCCCAGACTCTAGAACTGTGAGCAATACATTTCTACTATTGTTAAGACACCCAGTCTCTGGTATTTTTGTTATAGCACCATGAATGGGCTAATGCACTATCTTTAATTTACAGCTACCTTCCAGTGGTAGTACACCACTTACCTTTTAGTATAAGACCTATGACATCATGCCTCCGTTTCTCCCTTCTTGCTTTTTTATGCTATTAGTGTCATATGTTTTACTTGTACATCGATCAAGTAAAAATTCCAAATTACTGTTATTCCTTATGCTTTAAGTGGTCAATTATCTTTTGAATATATTTAAGTAATAAGAAAAATAGTATTTATATTTATTCATGTAGTTATTTCTGGTACTTTTTACTCCTTTGCGCAGAACCAAATTTCCATTCGATATTATTTTCCTTCTGCTTGAAAGACTTAGTTTAATATTTATTATATTATATATATGCTGGTGATTAGTTCCTTCAGCCTTTGTGTTTTTGAAGGCTTTCTTTTGCCTCCATTTTTGAAAGTATTTTCATTGGGTAAAGGATTCTAGGTTTTTCTTTTTAGAATTTTAATGATGTTGTTCAACTGTCCTCTAATTTGCAATTTTTCCAACATGAAATCTGATGTCATATTTATTTTGCTTCTGTGAGATGGTTTTCTTTAAGCATCATTAAAGTTAGTTCCCTGGCTAGGGCTCTCACCTGGATTGGAGTTACATCTAGGATCTCAAGGTAGAACATGTTAATGATTATGCTAACCATGGGTTGAGAGGGCTGAAATCTGGCCATTCTACATCAGAAAGTAAAAGGTTTTAGTCTAGGTTCTGTACAGTTATGGTAGAAGAATTAGATTATTCAAAGAATTCCATTTGATTTTGTTAGAAATATCCACCTCATGTATTACCTTTTGCTAGATATTGGCTGCCTGTTTTCTGTGGGCTGGAGCGGGTGTGGGTTGTGGAGGGGTGGGGCAGGAAAAGCCACAACACATTTTGTTCAACTGTCCAATATACTGACCTTCAATTGCCCCTTCTGTCTTCTACTCAACTTTTAATTCCTGCCTCTGTCCTCCCCCAAGCAACACATATGCTGACTCTGAATGCAGTGCCTTTCTGAGGTCCTTTGGGTAGGTGGGCTTCTACTGCCCTGGCGGCTCTCGTGGTATATTATCTGCTGGACATTCTCCTTCCGTTTTATTTGTCACCTCATTTTATATCCAATTTTCTTTAGAATTCTTACAACTATATATAAATAACATTTCTATCCTCCAGTTCTTTCTCTTCATCACTATTGTTTTTTGTTCTTTTTGTTTTTGTTCTTTTTTGTTCTTTTATTTTACTTATTTTTTTTATTTCAGTGGGATCTCAGGAAAAAGGAGGCACACTCACTTGCCTGGTCTTTGACCTTAAGCTATCTCTGTAGCCTCTTTAAAATTTTTTCTTCTTCAAATAAGTAAACATGTTTCAAAGGAATTATAAGACAAGTCTAAGAATTCATAGTTTGCTGTTGATGGAATTTAGGCCAGATCCTTTGGCCACATCATTGGCCATCAGTGTGCAGCATTATATAGGTCAGATCCATGCATTGCTCCTTCCATAACACTGCCCTGATCATTGAAGGTAGGGATAATTTCTGCTTCATCCCAATATCTCTGATTCTTGCAAGATGCCTGGCACAGGTTAACATCTTATTGATAAATTAATGAATCCTCATGGACTCAATGACCTCAGAGACTTGCTGCAGCAGTAAGGATCTGTGATCTGTCAATTCTACTTTAGAATTACATTAATTCTGTTATAGAAAATATTGTCTGCCTTCTCAATCTGCCTCTATGGCAAACTGTTTCTGTGTTTGTTTAGCATGCCCACCTTAGAAAAATCTACTCCTAAAGCAGCATATTTCTCCAACTTTGGCTTTTTCCACAAATAATGGGCCTGTGCTTCTTAGTGGCTAACTTTCCATCTTTACAGTGAGATTTAGGGAGGCCAAAATGTAGATAAATTAATTGATTAATTACATAGGCAGAAAAGTCTCCACAATAGTCTGAATTTATTTCTGGGCACTAGAAATATAAAACAGTATAAGATATATTTTCTGTCCCAAAGGAGTTGTTAGTTGAGATACATAAAATGATTCTTACTAATATAAGGTCCTAAAAAATTAAACTTCAATTTGAATCAGAAAATTTAGAAGGCAAACAATATAGATAAGTAGTTCTCACAGATGACCAGTTCCCCTGGAATCATCAAAACCAACAAGAAACCTCATGCACACCTGACATCTATAGCTTCAGAAATGAGTCAGATTTGGCACCTGTTTTCGCCAGCTGCTTTCTCAGAATGGATTTCCAGAGTGCAGGCCAACTGAAGAGAAGGAGCTGAAAGACTCCAGAGAGGTTGATCAGTGACAATAGGTATTGCTGCCTTTGTTCAAGATCTGCTTAACTTTTAAACTAAGGTGAAATAAGCATACCCGTTTCTAAATTATCTTTCTTTTTTTTCACAGATTAGATTTTAAATGATGATGGAAGAACACTCAGCATATTCTGGATATTAGAGGTAAAGTTAAGCTATCTCTCTCTATCTCTATCTCTATCTCTATCTCTGTCTATGTATCTAAAGGACCATAAATGCAATGCAGCGATGTGATAAGTAGGACCATAGGGTCCAAGGACCCCATGGAATTGCAGTTAGAAGAATCATATTTTACTACCCTATCCGTGTTGTTTAACAGGCAGGGAATAAATTTTCAGCTCACTCAGGGAAATTTTTCTCTTAGCTTTAATTTACCATAATGAATCAATTACAAGAAAGTATTTGTTAAGGCGGGCAGAAGAAAACTTTTGGAGGTGATAGATACGTTTACAGCATAGCTTGTGAAGATGGTTTCATGGTGTATACTTATCTCCAAACTCATCAGGTTGTATACTTAAATAGGTATGGCTTTTTGTATGTCAATCATACCTCAACAAGTTGTGTTTTTTTAAGAATGCATTATAATTGACCACACTAAACTGATTTCATTTTACCCTCCATATCTAATCAGTAAGTTTCTATACTTGTGGAAAAAAAGAACCTATTCCTCTGGAATGTGCTCTTAATTGCACTGTGCTGAGGGTATTGCTACTGGTTGTGTTAAATATTGCATTACATAGAAGTGTACATTTTTTTACAATGAATTTCACAAACATTTGCATTTTAATGTGCACAATGAATCTCAAATCTCTCTTGAGTCTGCTTAAAGACCATTTTTTTCTCACATTTCAGTCTCTTTGGAAATATCAATGTTACAGCAGTGATAACCTTGAAAAGGCTGCTGGTGGGTAATCATGTTGACTTAATTACAGAAAAAGGCAAATTACCCCAAAGGAACTCAGAGCTACAGACTTGAGAGGGACAAGAAGTGTCCTGAGTCCCACTTTGCTACATTGATGGGAGAGGAAAATAAGGAAATTGAAGAATTTGATTTCTTTTTTAAAAGAATTTTGGAAGGCTTTACTTTTTGTCCAGCAAGTGTGACAAAGTAATCATACATTTACAAGATATTCCACTGTCCAGCACACAGACATGAAATTGAAAGAAAACCTCAGCTATGCTGAAACTAGGAAAGGTCCCTAATCTCATACTACAATTTCTGAAAAATATCTGTCAGATGAGGTCTTACTTTATCTTTAACATCAAATTGAGACTGACCTGAAGGTAACAACGAACAACTCTCCTTAAACTCAAAATTGAAGTAAGTGTGAAGAAAAAATATTTCTGCGGGCTACTACTAATATCTCTATGCTCCTATGCTTGCAGGTAACAAGCCTAGAGCTTAGATAGACCACATAAAGGGCGGGGGAAAAAACAAAAAATAGTAATATGGAGTGCATTTCAACTTATGTAGATGAGCAGAGATGGTCAGTTAGAGAAGAGATTAAATGACCATTCTTTACTATTGTTTTCTCTGGTCCAACTTCCAAACAGAACTGAGGAAATAAAGACATGAGTCAACTTCCCAGCAATGGGCCCATCCAGGGTAAACTAGACATCTATTCATCAGAGAGAAGAGGTGATGATGCATTGCTGCCCCCACTTCTCAACAAACTCGGCAACTGATTCACGGCTATGGGATGAAATCCAAAAACCAAGGGGATTCTCATTCTTGAAAGAATAAGGTATGTTCTGAAAACAGTAAAGATGTTCTTTTATTTACAGGGGAACTCAGTAACAGAATTCCCTGGTTCAGTATTTTCCATACACCAGTAATTCTCCCCTCAGCTTAAATTAACGGCCTCAGAGAAATAAAAGAATAGTGAATATCCAGCTTTTTACCCAGTGTCTAATGCAGGAGCCGCTAATGACCTCTTGATTAAATAGGGAGGAATGTTAAGAGTATTCACCCTATTCTATTTTAGGGAAAATAACAGGCTGGTTGGTAACTGCTGCAGTCAAAGATAATTGAGCAAAAACACATCAGCATGTATTTAGAAAGGGACACAATGGTACCATGCAGTAATGCACTAACTGCGAACAGATGTACCTTCTGCCATAAACAACACGTTTTGAAAATTGAGCTAGTCATTGACTTTTGATGGTTCCATTTATGATTATTTTTCAATTTTACGATAGTGCAAAAGTGATATGCATTCAATGAAAACTGTATTTTTTGAATTTTGATCTTTTCCAGGCTAGATATACGCAATGTGACAGCCTCTCATGATGTAGGGCAGTGGCAGGCAGCAACAACTCCCAGTCAGCCATGTGATCATGAGGGCAAATGACTCCTGCTCTGCAGTGTACTGTCTTTCCATCTGATTTTGCTCAACTGTAAGCCGATGTATGTTTTCTGAGCATGTTTTAGGAAGGCCAAGCTAAACTGTGATTATTTGTATCCACAGATCCAACCAACCACGGTTTCAAAATATTAGGGAAAAAATAAAAGAGAATAAAAACTACAGCAACAAAAAAATACAAATAAAACAATATCTTATAACAACCATTTTAACAGCCTTTGTATTGTATTAGGTATTGTAAGTCACTTAAGGATGAGTTGAAGTATACAGGAGGATGAACATAGGTTGTAGACAAATGCTGTCCCATTTTATATAAGGGACTTGGGTATTGGTGGATTTTGATATTTGCAGGAAATCCCAGAACCAAATCTCTACAGATACTGAGGAATTACTATATATTAAATGAATTTTCAATGTATAATATTTTCAACTTTTGATGGCCTTATCAGGACATAATCCCATTGTAAGTCAAAGAGCTTCTGTAGTCAAATTGCTAAAAACAGGTAGCAATAAGGAGAAAATATTAAAAGTTACTAGAAGAAAGACACATAAAGAGGAACAAAACTGAAAATAATCACAGTCCTCTCACCAGAAACTATAAAATCTAGAAGACAATAGAATAACATATTTCTGCTGAAAGAAAAAAAATATTTTCAACATAGAACTCAATACCTAGTGAATAATATTCTTCAAACATAATGGTGAAAAATTATTTTCAGGGAAGGAAAAGGTTAGCAAATTCAACTTTAGCAGATATACACTACAGAAATATATAAGAAAATTTTTAGGAAGAAGAAATATGATGTCAAAGGGAACTCTAATTTATATAAAAGAATAAAGAGTGCTAAAGATATTGAGTAGACTGATAAATATAAGAAATATTTTTCTCATTTAAAATTATTTAAAAGATAATTTCTTAAAAATAATAACAGTGTATTACAGGGTTTAAAATATATGTAAAAGTAAACTAAATGACAATAATAGCACAGAAGATAAGGAAAGGGGAAAATGGAACTATATTGTGGTAATGCTCTTACATGGTAAGTGAAGTGGTAAAATATTATAAGCTAGCATGTGATAAATTTTATATCAATACTGTAATCCCTAGAGCAATCACTAAATAATAAACAATAAGGTATAGTTAATAAACCAAGACAGAGATACAATTGATTACAAAAATAATTTATTCAAAGAAGTCAGAAAAGGGGAAAAAGGAGCAAAGAAGACATGGTTTAAATTTTAAAAATTTATACATGATATATTTAAACCCAACCACATGGATAAGCACGTTAAATATAAATGGTCTGAACACTCCAATCAAATGACAGAGATTGTCAGATTGAATAGGAAAAGTATGACCTCTGATTTCAACTTCAGCATGTAAACAGTTTGGAAGTCATCACTCTAGTCATCACAAGAAGAAGAAAAGCCAAGCAAACTAAAAATCCATGTCATTTCTGTGATCCATCAGAGGATTAAGATCACAGGGCAAACTACTACCCTGACATTTGGAGAGACTGGCACATATGAAGAACCACAGCCAAGATTAGCCCAAGAGTGGAAGGAACTGCACTCAGTAACTGGTAGGACCACCTAAACAATAATTTTCATGAATTGCTAAAGGTAGAGAGTATACTAGCTTGATACTTGAATGCTCCTAAAGAACCCAGTGTTAGGTGGTCCCCAACACCTAACAGGTGGTTGGGTGGTTGGGTGGTTGGTTTGCCACCAGAACACCCACCAGGTTCTCAAAGTGAGGATCAGAGAAATATCTCCTATGTTGCAGGCAGGAGGAGTGGGTAAAAATACATTCTGAAATACATCCAACAAAAAAGAAGCCATTTTGAAATATTATCAGAGAATTCTGTGTAACAATAGCCTGTCCTCTAGGGCAATATACTGCTTCACATCTTGGGGAAAGGCAATTAGACATTTTCCGACCTCTCTAGCCTTCTTGTCTCATGCAAGGGTGGGAAAAAAAAGCCCAAGAAATGCTTCTAAAGCTCACAGCCTGGAAACTCAGGCCCACTAAAAAACTGAGATTTAATCATAAGAATATACAATGCTTCTCTTTCTCAGCAGCTTACCATAACATAAACAGGACTCCAGTATAATAAAAATGAATTACAACAGAGAACAGCAAGCCATGGACTGTATTTATGAAGAAGTTCTTAGGGAAACCCAAACAACAGAGGAGAAAAAAAAACAAAATATACAAGGAAGCTGGAGGATACCAAAACCTCTGGAGCCTGAAACTACAACAAATAAATACACTGAAGCTCCTTGCCAAATTAACATAAAACCTTACACTAAAAGCCTAATTAACCTCATTTCCTATTACCCAATATGTCATGCCCACTTTCAATTAAAAATTGCAAGGCATGCTGAAAGACAAGGAAAAACACAAGAAGAGGGAAAGCAAGCAGCAGACTTAGAGATGAGACAGCTTTTGGAATCATTATATAGGGAAATTATGATAACTATGTTTAATATGAGGGGACTTCAAAAAGCTCACAAAAAATGCATATTATGAGAAAACTGTGCATGGATTCCAAAAATTGCCTGTACCAAAATAAACTCATAATGGCTTTTTACAACATGTCAGAACAGGATCTAGCCTGAGGCACTCGAAGAAGGATAAGAATCAGTTTGAAAGGAGCCCCTATCAGAGCAACATGAATTCTACTAAAATTGAAGCAAGAATAAACATCAAATCTATGGTGAAGCTTTGGTGGAAGAATGGTGAAGTCACTAGTGCTTTACAAAAAGTTTATGGGGACAGTACTCCAAAGAAAACAGTTTACAAATGGACAACTCATTTTAAAAAGGGATGAGACAATGTTGAGGATGAAGCCCACAGCAGATCATCCACATCAATTTGAGAGGAAACAATTAATCTTATTCATACCCTAATTGAAGAGGCCCGACAATTAACAGCAGAAACAATAGCTGACACCATAGACATCTCAATTGGTTCAGCTTACACAATTGGGATTGAAAAATTAAAGTTCTGCAAGGTTTCTATTTGATGGTTGCCAAAACCACTGCACCCAAATTAGCTGCGGTAAGAGCAGAGCATTCAATGGATTTTTAAAAATGAGATCAAGATCCTGAAGCATTTTTTGACAAACTGTAACAGGAGAAGAAACATGGCTTTACCAGTATGATCTTGAAGACCAAGGACTATCAAAGCAATAGCTACCAAGAGGTGGAAATGGTCCAGTCAAAACAAAAGTGGGCCAGTCAAGAGCAGAGGTCGTGGCAACAATTTTTTGAGATACTAAAGGCATTTTGCTTGCTTACTTTCTGGAGGGCCAAATAATGATAACATCTAC
This sequence comes from Homo sapiens, assembly GCF_000001405.40. Taxonomy (NCBI): domain Eukaryota; kingdom Metazoa; phylum Chordata; class Mammalia; order Primates; family Hominidae; genus Homo; species Homo sapiens. The sequence goes on from NC_000002.12 coordinate 18,374,018, forward strand.
TTATTATGAGAATGTTCTGAGAAAGTTAGCCAAAGCTTCAAGAAAAAAAAAAAAAAAGTTTGGGAAAGCTTCACCAGAGAGTCCTTCTCCACCATGACAATGCTACTGTCTGCAGTGCTACTCCACAGTGACAATGCTCATTCCTCTCATCAAATAAGGGCAGTTTTGCAAGGGTTTTGATGGGAAATTTGTAGGCACCCAGCTTATAGTTCTATTTGGCTCCTTCTGACATATTTTTGCTTCCTACTCTTAAAATACCTATAAAGGGCACCCATTTCTCTTCAATTAAAAAAGTAAATAGACTACATTGGCATGGTTAAATTCCCAGGGCCCTTAGTTTTTTATTGATAGACTAAGTGGCCGGTATCATTGCTTACAAAAGTGTCTGGACCTTGATGGAGTTTATGTTAGAAAACAAAGCTTATATTTTTTATTTTTATTGTTGAATTCAAATTTTCCATAAACTTTTGAAGTCCCCTCATATGCTAAGGGCTTTAATGGAAAAGCAGACAATATGCAAGAACAGATGGTTAATCTAAGAAGCAAGATTGACACTTTAAGAATCAGAAGGAAATGCTAGAAATAAACACTGTAACAGAAGACTTTTAAAAATTTATTTGCTAGGCTAATCAGTAGGCTAGACATGGCTGAAGAAAGTCAGTGAGCTTGAAAAGATGTCAAACTGAAATGCAAAGAGAAAAAAGAAATGAAAAATGGAACAGAATATCCAATAACTGTGGGATAATTACAAAAGATATCACATGAATATAATGGGAATACCAGAAAGAGAAAAAGAAACAGAAGAAATATTTGAGTTAATAATGCCCGAGAATTTTCCAAAATTAATGCCAGACACCCAACCCCTAATCTAGAAAGTTCACAGACCACCAAGCAAGATAAATGCTGAAAGATCTATAGCTAGGTATACCATATACAAATTACAGAAAACCAAAGACAGAGAAAATCATGAAAGTGGCCCTAAAATAAAAACACCTTATTTAAAAGAAACAAGGATACAAATCGCATAAGACTTCTATTCAAGAAGCATTCAAGGACGAAAAATGTGGAGTGAAATTTTTTTTTTTTTTTTTGAGACAGAGTCTTGCACTGTTGCCCAGGTTGGAGTGCGGTGACGCGATCTCGGCTCACTGCAACCTCTGCCTCCCAGGTTCACGCCATTCTCCTGCCTCAGCCTCCCGAGTAGCTGGGACTACAGGTGCCTGCCACCACATCCGGCTCATTTTTTTGTATTTTTTAGTAGAGACAGGGTTTCACTGTGTTAGCCAGGATGGTCTCGATCTCCTGGCCTTCTGATCTGCCCACCTCGGCCTCCCAAAGTGCTGGGATTACAGGCGTGAGCCACCGCACCCGGCCTGGAGTGAAATATTTAAAGTGTGACAATAACCCACCAAGCTACAATTATTATCCATAGAAATTTTCCTTCAAAAGTAAAGGAACAATAAAGACTTTCTCAGACAAACAGCAACTGAGGGAATTTGTGAGCAATAGACTTGCCTTGAAAGGAATGTTAAAAGAAGTTCTTCAGAAAGAAGGGAAATTATGGAAGTTAGAAACCTGGGTCCACATAAAGAATAAAAAAAAAATCAGAGAAGGGATAAATGAAGGTAAAATAAAATATTTTATTTTCCTCATTCTTAATTAATTCCTTAGAGTATTAATAGCTAGCAATGTGTTGCATCATTATAGCATACGAATACATGAGAAAAATGACAGCAAGGGTATTGGGGATGAAAGAGAGACACTGAGAATACTCTGTTACAAGGCACTGGCACTACCCAGGAAGTGCTATAGTGATGCTTGTAATGGACTAAGATTGGTTGTGAGTGTATCCTGGAAACTCTAGGGCAAACATGGAAGAAACAACTTAGGGCTCTACCCATCGCAAAGCTACTATACCAGTCCTGGAGAGTTTATGTTTATGTGAGGGAGAAATTAATTTCTATTTTATTTAAGCCTTATTTTTTTGATCATGACAAGAACATTTAAGATGAGATTTACTCTATTAACAAATGTTTATGTGCACAATGCCATGTTGTTAATTGTAGGCACAATATTGTGAGCAGAGCTCTAGAATTTATTTATCTTGTGTAAGTGAAACTACATACATTGAAGGGCAGGGGCCTGTTTTTTAAAGTTGTTTTGTTTTGTCATATACAGCCAAATAAAATGAATACTAATAATAAATAATAAAAACTGGCTTATGAATATATAGAAAAACTGCAGGGTTTTATAACTATTAAAAAATTAAATCAGTGCTTCAGGTCTTCCCACAAGGATCAAACAGGGTGCAAATGAATAAACAGGTTAATTCTACAAAGCTTTGATAGAAGAAAGAATTGCAGTCCCACAGCAACCAATTTTAGGATGTGTAACACAGAACACTCCCTAACGCTGAGATCAGGATAGCTTTGATAGAAACGTCTGAAAAGAACAGTATAAGGAAAGAAAGTGCCAGGCCACTTCTAATGATAGAGGAAAATCCAAAACAAACTCTTGGCAAACTGAATTGGACGATGTATAACAAATTGATAATTAATACTTTATGACAAGCTGTCTTTATTCCAAGAATGTAAGGTTGGTTCAAAATAGAAAATCTTTTCATGTGATTTGCCATGTGTATTAGTTTTCCATTACTGATGTAATAAATCCTGAAAATTTATCATATTATAGTTCTGAAGCTCAGAAGTCAGATGGAGGCCTCACTGCACTAAAATGAGGGTGCCGACGAGGCTGAATTATTTTCTGGAGGCTGCAGTGGACAATTTGTTTCCTTGGTCATTCGGATTGTTGGCAAAATCCAGTACCCTGTGGCTGTAGCACCGAGGTCTCTGTTCTCTTACTGGCCATAAACTGTGTGCTGATTCCAGCTTTGGGAGGCCATGGCATTCCTTGGCTCATGGTTTCCTTTCTCCTTCTTCCCAGCCAACAATGGTGGGTTAGTCCAATACTGCATCTCTCTGACCCACTCTTTCCCGCCCTCTTCCATTTTTAAGGATCATGTAATTAGACGGGGCTCACCTCTATCACCCAGGATGATATCCCCACCTCAACATCTTTAAACTTGATCCCTTCTGCAGAGTTCCTTTTGCCATGTGGGCTAACAAACTCACAGCTGCCAGGGATGAGATCATGGACGATGTGCCTACTGCATCATACTAAGAAACAGAGGGAAGAAAACTGTGGAATCATCACAATGAATTTTAAAGTAATATTTGAAGACATTAAACATTTTATCATTATTAATCTCTTACGAATGGATAAATTATGTATTTTAAAGAATTCCTTCAGAAAATATCATGCTCAATGATAAAATACTAAAAGTATTCCCCCAAAGATATGAGGAAAGACAAGGATACCAGCTATCCACTCTTATTTTAACCATTTACTGGTTGTTCTAGCCAATAAACTAGTATAAGACAAAGCAGGAGTACGAGGTTTGGAAAGGAGAAAGTAAACTATCATTAACTTCAAGTAATATAATTGTTTTCACAGAAAAGCCAAAAAAACTATAAAAATTGCTTACATTAATAATTTATATTTTTTTCTGATATTAATAAAAGACAATTGTATTTTATACACCAGCCATAGTTTTAAAACATGCAGTTTCAATAAAATACATAGTTTGCAAGTGAAGTAAGGAAATACAAGGTATTCAAATCTGTGCAAATCTGTGCAAAGCAAATATGGAAAAGTTATAAAATATTTTTCAAATACTTTTTAAAAAATGCTAAATAAATTGGGAGACATGTTTATGAATAGGAACATTTCCTTCTTTCCTGAGGTCATTTGGAGCCATGACTGTGATTTGTCACATTTGCTTCCTAGTGGCGTTTGTCCAATCAGTTGGGGAGGAGCACAAATGGACTGAATGGAAGGAGGATGGAAAGCTCATGGAGCCACAGCCTCACCTCAAATTCCTTTCACTCCTGGGTTCAGAGATTTCAGATGAGGCCCTGAGGTTATTGGATATCTTGGGTTTGATTTACCCTTGTGCTTTCGGGTTTATTCCAGGAGTCAGTATACTTAATATATGCAAATTTTGTTTTTTACTAATTCTGGGTAATCTTCACTCCAGAGTGATAATTTAATTAGCTTTAGTCTTCAGTAACAAAGTTCTTTGAAATTATTTGCCCTGAGACTGAAAATCCCTGTCAAGGAAATCTCTGTTGTCAGAATATAGGCTTTGCTGCCCTCTGCTGTTGGATAGGGGTAACTCTTCACCGAAGAAGACTGTGGAGCCAGGAGACCCTCGAAGGGAGGCAAAGGCCAAGGATGAGGAGTCAGGAGGAGAATGGCTCTTATTCTGGACACTGGCATAGGTGATACAGCCATGCACATCTCTTCCATGGAATTAGGAGGAATTTCTGCAAACCTTCAAGGACTTCATGGATGTTTGATAAGAAATTTTGCAAAAGAATGTATTTCCAACTAGAAAGTGCAACATGATTTTAAAATATGTAATACCAGTATGCTTATTGATAGTTGTGTTTTTTCTGTATCACAAACTACCAGATGCTCCATCCATTTCTCTTTGGTCCACATCTTAGATCCACCGCTGACATCAACTGGATTGATTGGATTATCTGGAGATCATTATGAAACAAAGAGTAGCATATAGATGGTTTATGGGTGATTACTCTCAGAAGGTGCACCTATGAAGAAGTTACACAGACAGAATTGTGCAGAAAGAGAAGCCGAATAACAACATAGTTAGAACTGCTGCCACAGCCAGTCTCATGGGGAGCTCTGGAGCTGAGATGGCCTTTTGGAATTGTCCCAAATTAAGGGAGACTGGGCCTTTGTGTCCCTGCATTGGCCAATTATTGGCCATGGGCGAGCTCCTGTGAGGTGTATAACCTTGGACAAACCAGTTCCCTAAAGTCAAGTGCAATTTTCTGTCAGGGTCACATTATAAATTAGCAGCTGATATTTCCAGACGCTGAGACCAGGCTATGTTGGCCCTGAAGTGGGGATCTGGACTGTGTAACACAGTATCTATTCAGTGAGTCTTGTTAGGAAACTATGGAATCTAAAAATTAATGAAATCTCTAGTTGAAGGGTGTCTACATTCCAGTGTTAGGTTTCATTTGATGTTACTTGAGCTGAGCTTGGAGAAATGGAAGTCTTTACACAAGAGGATGCATTAGAGAAGGTCAGACATATGATGTAAATGACATAAAGGGTTAGAGGAAGAACATTACAGAAGTCTCTGCAACAGCAATATTCTGAATAAACAGGTAACTATTGTGAAGAGGAACAGGAAGGTGTAAGGTTGGTAAGATTCAGCCAAATCAAAGATATAAGTTTTAGAGATTGTTCATAGCTGACTAGAGACCACCGCCTCATCTCACCACAGTATGACTAGCTGTGTGGTATTAGGCAAGTTACTCAATCTCTGAGAGCTTCAGTTTGCTTATCAGTGTCAACAGGGAATAATAATAGTACCTTCCTCAGACAGTTTCAGTGAAAATTCGAGACCTACATAAAGCTGGAACCCCAAAGGCTACAACCTTAGTGTTAGGGATGAACAGCAAGTAAATCTTACGTGTTTGTGTGTGTGTGTGTGTGCAGGCACGTGCACACCTGGGCATGTTATATGTGCACATATTTACATATGCATATCTACATCTATGTAATGTCCATCCGTATCTGTATATCGGTGGTTTTCAATTGGGAGTGATTTTTCTTCCATGGAGATATTTGGCAATGTCTTGAGACATATTTGGTTGTCGTGGAGTGGGAGTGTTGCTGGCATCTAGTGGGTGGAGACCACAGGAGACGCTGCTAAATACCCTATGGTCCTGACAGGACAGTCCCTGTCAAGAAAAAAAATGACCTGACCCAAAATGTCAGTAGGGCTAATGTTGAGAGATTCTGTATCTCTATATCATCTGTCTATTTTTCACATCAGGAGCCTCTAACCCCCAGGTCATGGACCAGTACCAGTGCGTGGCCTGTTAGGAACCAGGCTGCACAGCAGGAGGTAAGCTGCAGGCGAGGGAGGGAAGCATAATCTGTATTTACAGCCACTCCGCATCGTTCACATGACCGCCTAGAGCTCCGCCTCCTGTCACATCAGTGGAGGCATTAGTTTCTCAGGAGCCTGAACCCTATTGCAAACTGCACATGAGAGGGATCTAGGTTACGTGCTCCTTATGAGAATCTAACTAATAATGCCTGATGATCTGAGGTGGAACAGTTTCATCCAGAAACCACTCACCCCCCAATCTGTGGAAAAACTGTCTTCCACAAAACCAGTCCCTGGTGCCGAAAAGGGTGGGGACCACTGTTTTACATCATAGCTCATTTGTCACTGGGTATAACCCAGCGTAAAAAAAAAAACAAAAAAAAAAAACTATAATTATTGTTCTGATGATTCCAGGGAACAGAAGACATTTCCAGGTTCCTACTGCAATATCTATTCCCTAGTTCTTTATTAACAGAGCCCGTTTTTCATAATGCAGCATGTCTGGCTCATTTCTCAGTTTGCTTGCACCAAGGGTGGTCATGTTGCACAATTCTGGTGAATGAACTGTCAGTTGAAGTCTTCTAGAAAAGCTAATGTTTTCCTGACAAAAAGGAAGATACTAAAATAATACACTTTGTTTTCTTTCCATTGTCATTTCCATGCCTTCCTGCCTGCAATGCCCAAAAGACTGTTAGACGTATAGCAGCCACCTAAAAATCATGCAGGTAAAAGCCAAACATAGGACCAGTAGAGCAGAAAGAGAAAAAGGAACCATGTAGGGTGGGTGGGAGGTGGGGGTGGATTCTGTTTCCTGCAATATTATGCACTAGGTATCCCAAAGGCATCACCCCAAGAAAAAATGACTTTTAAAAATCCATGTAATATGTTGGAAACAAAGATCTCTTCCTTTAGCTCATTCTGCAAGAAAGTAACAATTCCTTAGAAACCCAAAAGGAAGTGAGATAAGTGAATGCTGATCCTAGCTTTTATTTCAGGGAATCGGTCAAGCCCTGTTGCCTTTAAACTTCCATTTTTATGGTTGCATGTGGTTCATAAAATAGGAAATAAACCCAAAGCCCGTTCAAGGTGGTGAGTCAACTAGGAATTGCCCACATGAAGTTGAGACCCCAAAGAAACACATTTTTTTGTGGTAAACAAAAACAAACCTACAGCACCGAAGAAGATGGCAAGGAAACACACATATTTCAATGTTAGCATTGCAGGAAAAAAGGTTTAACCTAAGAATTTATAACCATAAACCATTTCTCACAAGCAGATAATTTGCATTAAAGTTAGCCTTGATTGATAGTGTTCCAGGAAACTGGAAGAAACAGACAGAAATTCTCTCTGGAAAAATGCAACTTCAACCCAAGCCTTAAAGTATTCCCAAAGATGAAGTTATAAAGAATGTGAACTCATGGTGAAAATAAAATAATTTACCATGAATAACAGCCAGCAGCCACAGATAATAGTGTTAGATCCACAAGAATTCCAGAAGCCTGTTTACATTTGTTTAACAAAAATCTTTGGAACTAGATATGGTTCAAAATTCAAATCTTTTTGGGATTACAGAAATGTAATAGAGTTTATTTATGGTAGTTCCAGAAGAGCTTGCATGGGGTCTGTAGCAATACTACATAATGAAAAACATCAGAGCAGAATATACAAAGTGGTTAGAAACACAGCCTTTAAACAGCCTATGGCAATGCAGCTAGAATTTTGCTCATGAACAGATATTGTCTACCCTCCTGATGAAAATGAAATTGTATTTTCAGAACTTTTTAATGGAAGAATCTCACATAAGGGATTGTGAAATTGAATTGGAATATCCAATGCAGGATGTAAAATAAGTATATTTAATATGTTTTGGTAATAAAAAAGACTTGAAAATATGAGCAAGTAACAAGAGAATATTAAAGCAAATTTGTAAAATAACCAAATAGAACATCTAGAAAAAATATAAATGAAACTTAAAATATAATAGATTAAACCGGAAGATTAGTCAAAGGCTAGTCAAAGAAAAAACTAGTAAACTGGTTTTACTCAGGAGGAAGGTCAGCTAATTAATTAAGAGTTTGTTAAGTATGCATATGAAATTATCTAAAAATAGCTACAAAAACATAACTACTAAATTAGCTTAGGGAGTAAAAGTATAATTAGAAAAAGCACAAATTAAATACAAAAGAAGGAAAAAATGCTTTCCAAACAAAACTGAAAACGTCAAAGAACAATATTAATTACCACAAATGTAAATGGATCTTACTTTCATTAAAAGAAAATGACTTTCAGCCTGTATTTTTAAAACCTCAACTCTGTGCTGTTTAAATAAAATACCCCTGAAATATAAGGACAGAGAAGGGTTTAAATTAAAAATTTAGAAAAATGAATGTACTAAACAATATTAACCTAAGTAAAACTGGTGATCCTATATTAATATCGGGCAACTGGGAACTTCAGCTTTTGGCTATGAGGGAATGCCTGGTTCCAGACTTTCCCTCCACTGCAAACAACCAGACAACTGAGCTTTTAAATATATAAAATAACTACATTCACACATTAGACAACCGGCAGAATAAAACTGGGACCACAGAGACAAGGGAAATCGGCAAAGTAAGCCCTGATGGCGCCGCCTTTCTGTATGGAGGCACTTTCTGGGCAGCAGCACAAGGTGAGAATGATTACAGGAGCACGGTGGACTCGCTCAGATGACGAGACACGTATTTGAAATCTGGGAGGCTGAGTTGGTGGTAATTTCCAGGGCAGAATACAGGACAGAAGGAAGCTATGCAGAGAAAGAGGTCCAGATATCTGCAAAGGGGCTTCCTTGAGTTTTTGGTAAACATTAAGCTATAAACACATAGGGTCACACTTCATGAGGCTAGGCAAAGAAGGAATACCAAGTTGTAAGCTGAGTAAATTACTCCACACAGAACTGCTGGTAAATGTTCAAGGTGCCACCTCTCAGTAACTGATAGAACAAGTAGACACAAAATTGATGAGGTTCTCAAACACCTGAAGATCAGTATCAAACAGTCTTTATCAACATTCAGAGGGTGATAAACCAACAAGATACACGTTCTTTTTGAGAACATATAAAACAATTATGAGAACGATCATATGCGAGTAACTATAAATTTTAAATGGTTAAAATCAAAGGGAGTATTTTCTATGACTTCAATGGAACCTAATTAGAAACCAGTAACAAGATATCTAGAAAATCCCCAAATATTATTTTAAAAAAACACAATATACTTTTAAACAATCTATGGATCAAAATGAAAATTATAAGGGAAACTAGAAACTTTTGATTTGAATACTAATGAAAACACATATCAAAATTTGTGGGATAGAAAAAATGGTGTCTAGAGGAAATTTGTACCATTAAATATTCATATTAGAAAAAAAGAAAGGTCTGTAATCATTGTTCTAAACTTCTACCTTAAGAAGCCAGTAACAGATGAGTAAATTAAACCCAAAATAATTAGAAAGAAATAAATGATACAGATTATAGGAAAATCAATGCAATCGAGTACAGAAATTTAATAGAGAAAAAAACAATGAAACCAAAACCTGGGCTGATCAGGAAAAAAGAGAGAAGATAGAAATTACCAATATTAGGAATAAAAGAGCATGACTACAGACCCTAAAGAGATTACTCAGATAACCAGACAATAGTATGAGCAAATATATTGTGTCACAAACAAATTTGCCAACTTAGATGAATTTGACAAATTCCTTAAAGGATACACATTTTAGAAACTGGTATAAGGATAAATAGAAAATTTGATTCACTTTATATCTATTAAAAAACTTAATCTATAAATGTTCTCCTGCGGATAAATACTTTGTTTCAGTTTTTGTAATAAATATTCAATGAATCTTTTTGTGCAACATCGGTGCAGTTTGGCAAGTTATCTCTGAACATTCTAGAATTGTCAAGGTGATTAACATTGCACATATTGATATATATTATCAAATGCTCCTCTAGAAAGCTGTACCAACTTACACTCCCACCAACACCTATTGGAAGAGGCAATTTCCAATGTTTTAAATTTTTCCCAGCAGATGATAAAGTATGTCTTTTGTGTTTAATTACATATCTTGGATTCATAGTGAGACTTAACATTTTTATTATATGTATCATACATTTACTTTTTATCATTCTTTTTAGTATAGACTGAGTTGTCTACTTTTCTTTTGGGTGTTATTTTCTGAAAGGTCTTTGATTAGGAATATAACTCTTTTTTCATATATGCTGCAATTATTTTTTAAAAAATTATTATTTAAATGTCAACCTCACAGGTGTGTGTGTGTATGTATGTGTGTATGCTACCATGCAAAAGTTTAAAAAATATGTAGACAAGTTTATCAGCCTTTTTATTTATGATTCTGGTTTTCCTAATTTTGAGTCACTTTTGAAAAATGCCAGATTCTTGGACAAAAATCAGGCCTGTCTTCCATATGTGCCGATAGTGTTATAGTATTTATTTTTATGTGTCTACTTTCATCTGATAACTTTCAGTTATTTTTCAAATCAGTTTTATTTATTTAATCTCAGTGTGGTAGATAAAAGGCCCAATTTTTCTTGTTAACAACTTCTTTTTTGTGCTTACTTCTTCTTTGATACCTAGATAAACAAGAGAGGGAAAAAAAAAACTTAAAAATGGGTCCTTGATCCCTCCCAAACTGATTCTGTGGTCTTTTTAGGCAATATTTTTTGAGTACTGCTTATTATGTGTTAGTCCATATGCTAAGCATCATACTGGTGTAAGCATGAATGAGACATTTTCCCAAGCACATTACCTTATACTAGGAAGGTGTGTTGTGTTCTGTTCTGTTCTCTATGTGGGGAGCGAGGCTCCAGCTCCAATGTGTCACTTCCTGCAGGAAGCCAAATCTAAGACTCTAATACCCACTGCTTGTGTTTGTTACTCTATTATTTCTTAAGATAACCTTTTGCAATTGTCTGTATCCCCCATGAGGCTACAAGAGTATAGAAAGTTTGTGTAATTTACGATTATATCTCCTGTACCTCATGAGCTCCTTCCACACAATTGGCCTCAGTATGTGTTGAATGAATTAATGAATAAGTAGGTGCAGAGCCTCCGGCTGATTCACAGATGGATGAAGGATCAGCTTCTCCACAAACGCACCAACAACTGCGACGGTTGAATTACATCCACCCCCACCAACTTCATCTGTGGAAGCCCTAACGCGGTACCTCAGAATGTGACTATATTTGTACATAGAGCCTTTAACAAGGTGATTCAGTGAAAATGAGGCCAATAGAATCCCTAATCCATATGCCTGGTATCCTTATAAGAGGACATTTGGACACACAGGGAAAGGACCAGGTGAGGACACAGCAAGCCGGCAGCCAGGCCTTAATCTTAAACCCTCAGACTCCAGAATTGTGAGAATATCAACTTCTGTTGTTTAAGCCACCCAACCTGTGGTGTTGTGTTATGGCAACCCTAGCAAACTAACACCCAAACCCAGCTGAGATCAGCCCAGCCTCAGCCTTCTGTCCCATGAGTAAATAAAGGCAGATCATTGTAGGCCAGTAAAGTTCTGTGGCTGTTATCCCACATTGTTGTGGCCACAATTAGCTGATAGCTACTTTATCTCTAGGAGCCTCAGCTTTCTTAACTATAAAGTGGGTCTTTTATGCGTGTTCTATTGGGTTTGGGGGAATATATTTAAGAAGCCATTAAGTAAGCCATGTTTTGCTTAACACTTGGCACACAATAAGCATGAATATATTCTTATTATGGCAATGTTCTTTTTCCTAATATTAATCATATTCTGCCCAGTGTTTTCCTGAATTTTATGTTAGGGTTAGTCCCCACTCAGAACGGTTGACTCCTTCATAGTCTTCCTATTTCCTCCAGCCAACCACTGGAAAGCCATAAAGAGTAGACTTTGCTTGGATTGGAAAAGAAAATGTGATACATATGCACCATGGAATACTATGCAGCCATAAAAAAGAATGAAATAATGTCCATTGCAGCCACATGGATGCAGCTGGAGGCCACTATTGTAAGCGAATGAATGCAGGAACAGTAAACCAAATACCACGTGTTTTCACTTATAACTGGGAGCTAGCCACTGAGTACTCATGGACATAAAGATAGCAGCAATAGAAACTGGAGGGAGTGGGAAGGAGGGGGCAAAGGTCAAAAAATTATTGGGTACTAAGTACCTGGGTGACAGGAATTCATACCTCAAATCTCAGCATCATGCAGTATACCCAGGTAACCTGCAGGTGCACCCCTTTAACCTAAAATAAAATTTAAAAAGAAATAAGAGTAAAGAGTAGAATTAGCCATAGCAACAATAGCAGCAGTAGTGGTAATAAAGTGACAATTGTTCTAAAGAAAGTCTCAGAACAAATAGGGAGATGGGAGGAGGGAAATATCTCAGGCTGAAGCCTTAGGGAATAATGACAGTTTTGTGGACCAGGAAGCATTTTAGTTGAACTTTGATGAATGATTAGAAGTTTGGGAAATTAAGAGGGTTCAAGTAGACGGGGTGGTGGGTGTCAGTGAAGTGGGAAGCAGTGATTGGCTCCTTTGGGCTGGAGTTCTTGGAGTAAGTGCTGATAGTTTTGGGAAGATTTATCTGGAAGTGTAGCCCAGGGTCATACTGCAGAGGCGATGAGTTTCAGAGAAACACAATTCTCCTCTTCTATTTCCTGTAGGATCCCAGGGTACGGCTGCAAAAGGAGTCTGAGAAGATGACTTACTGAAATCAAGGTACTTTCTTAGTCATTGTGATAGTTAATTGTAGGTGTCAGCTTGACTGTATTCAGGGACACCTAGCTAGCTGGTAGAGCTTTATTTCTGAGTGTGTCTCTGAGGATGTTTCTAGGAGAGACTGGCATTTGCATCAATGGACTGAATAAGGGAGAGCCATCCTCACCTAATGTGGGGGCACCATTCACTCCACTGAGGGCTCTGATGGAAAAAAAAAAAAAAAAAAGGTAACGTAATGGTGAATTTGTTCTCTCTCTCTTCCAGAGCTTGGATGCCCTTCTCCTTCTGCCCTTGGATGTCAGAATTCCAGTTCCTCTGGCTTTTGGACTGTAGGACTCACACCAGCATTCCCTGTCCCTACCACCTCCACCACCCACCAGCTTTCAGGCCTTTGGCCTGAGACTGAGAGTTACACCATCGGCTTCCTTGGTTCTGAGGCCTTCATATCCGGACTGAACCATGCAACTGCCTTTCCTGGTTCTCCAGCTTGCAGTCGGCCTGTTGTGACACCTCTCAGCCTTCCTTACAAAGTGAGCCAATTCCCTTAATTAATCATTTCTCCTCTCTCTCTGTCTCTTTCTAGCTTATTGGTTCTATCTCTCTGAAAAACCTTGACTGATTCAGTCATCTTCCTAAAAGAGTTCAGCATTTAATAAAATCCCTCTAACCCACAGGCCTAGTCCTCTCTAGGCTGGTTGCATTAAGGGATAGAAAGTCTGGAGAAGACTTTCCAATCCGGTTTTGGGGGCGAGTCAATTGCATGCGTGAAACTGAAGTTAGCAGGAGAGGGCGCTGTCCCCAAAGCTTCAGGGCCTGCAGATGCTCAGAAAGAGCTGTCAGCCTGGTCCAGGCACAGGAGAGAAGAACCAGTGTCCTGGACGAGGGGACCCGGAAGTCTGGAAAGCAGCCAGTATACCTTGGGAAGGGTGGGCAGGAGGCGCAAAGGCAGTCCAGCAAGCACAGAGGGACTGTTGAGGAATATTACAGGGTGGGGCAGTTACTGGGGGTAGGAGGTGAGGGAGAATTGTTTGTGACCCACATTGCACAGTCACCTTAGAGTTTTCCAGAAGTGAGTCCTGAGAGGAGGCACATGCAATGACCAGCCATAGCCACTAGGGGGAAGCATTTGCTTGTGAAACCAACGACCTAACCGACCAGTAGCCAACTCAGATTCCTGTCACTATACCCTTGAACTATCCCAAGAAGTGGGGATTGACATTTTCTAATGAATTATAAACTAAGAGACACTACTGCTGACTCTCCCCAGGCTAGGATTCTAGTTTAGCCGCAGGATGACCACAACAGACAAACCTCGCATGCTATTTGCCCATGAGTGGTCGGTCACACCCTGGTGATTTGAGGTGCATCCCGGGCACGGTCTCAGAGGTCAAGGTCTCTGAGCCGTCTTCTTTACTTATTGGCTAAGGGACTGTCTTCCTCCTTTTCATCCCTTGGGGCAGCAACATCCAGTTGCGGTTTGAGAAATCTGAAAGGAGACAGACATAGGCCCAACTACTCTTGGGACAGCTGTTTTTGTTTGTTTGTTTGTTGTTGTTTGTTTGTTTTGGATAGCTGTTTAATGAATCTCAGTGACAAACTTCAACTCTTCGATTTAGTACATATCTTGGCTCTTAGGGAGTAGGGTTCACATTTCAGCTTTGCTGTTTACTAGCTACATGAACTTGGATCCATCTCTTAACTCTCAGGCCTTTGGTGTACTCATTTAAAATGTAATCACAGAGCTGCTGTAAAGGTTAAATTAGAACCATATATGTAAAGCATCAGCACATAAAAAGAGCTCCAATGTGAGTACCCTTTATTCTTTGAATGATTTTCTTAACCAATCAGCCTTCCCTTAACGGGCCCAGCCTGGTGCTGTTGCTTCCAGTTATCGAAAGGATTATTAGGTGCTTGTGCACATTTCAAGTTTCCTTGTGGATGAAGATCCCATAATTTTCATTAGAGTATCACCTCTCAAACTTCAGACATTTTGATACCAACTTTATAATTGTTGCTATGTCTGCTATCCATTTGCACTATTATTTATTAAATATTTTTTTAAATCAACTCTTTTTTAAAAAACTTAATTTTAAAAGGAAACTTTATGTCATTTTTATAACTGGAAAACTAGTGTCACATGCAATAAATAAAAAGGTTAGCATAAAAATAACCATTAAAAGAAACCAAGTGATTAAATAGTGCATTACATAAATAATAGATACACCAATCAATATATTAAAATATTCCTGAGGATCTGCAGCAAGCTGTACCAGCCCTAGGTAATTTTAATAAGTCATTTAATACACAGATACAATGATTAGTGCATTTCAATAATCAAAACAAGCTGCACCAGCCCTAGGTAATTTTAATAAGTCATTTAATACACAGATACAATGATTAGTGCATTTCAATAATCATAACAAGCTGCAAACATATTTGGAGTTGTAAATAAATAAATAAATTCAAATAAAATATATATCTACTGTTCTTTGATAACTGATTTCATCTTTTGTATATGCCCCTCTCTGGTCAATTCTGTTCATTTGCATAATTAAAGCTGCCTCTTCAAATAACTCTCTTTCTGGTCAATAATCCAAATAAACTCTCAGCTTTTGGGTGTTTTCTTTCTTCCTCTGTTTTTCTCCAAGCTGGTAGCTGAGTTTATGGCAGAGGGCTGTGTCTTTGTGATTTTGTGTTGATGGCTATGGGAGCAGGGTATCTGTGAGGTGTGATATCGACCCTCTGCTCTTCCTGATTGTAAAGTAGTTGCTCGGCTGGAGTCTGGGTCCACACTGCTTGGCTCAAGCCTCAAAGGCCTGACCCTGGCCTTTGCTCTGATCCCATACCTTTGCTGGCACACCAGCCCTTTCTTGATATGTCTGTGTTCCTTCTTCAGAACATCCAGTGCTTGATCACTCTGCTCTCCTTTCTCCCTTTTTTGCCCAATAATCGCCACAAAGGGCAGGTTCTCACCTCTTCCTCTTCCAGGCCAATTAGTCTTCCTTATGTAAAACCCTACATTGGTTGGATGCGGTGGCTCACACCTATAATCCCAGCACTTTGGGAGGCCAAGGTGGGCAGATCACTTGAGGATCAGGCGTTTGAGACCAGCGTGGCCAACACAGTGAAACCCTGTCTCTACTAAAAATACAAAACTAACCAGATGTGGTTGCATGCACCTGTAGCCCCAGCTACTCGGGAGGCTGAGGCAGGACAATTGCTTGAACCCAGAGGCGGAGGTTGCAATGAGCCAAGATTGGGCCACTGCACTACTGCCCGCATGACAAAGTGAGACCCTGTCTTAAAAACAACAAAAACAAAAAACAAAACAAAACAAACAAAAAACTCTATATTTAAGTCACCCAGGCCATGTTAAAGATGGGGTTTGCCATTAAATTATAGTTTTGAGATAGAATCAGAAGTTACCTTTTCCTTTCACTTCACATTTTTGCTATAATGGTTATAAATATCTTTGAGGCAAATGGAGATCCTTGGCAGATTGAAGGTTGATCAGTTCAAGAAACTGTTACCCAAGTGAGACTGGAGAAAAGACCACTTTTATTAATTATACATCAAGAGCTTTCCAACTTTTAAGGAGCATATCTCAAAGATCCAAATAGAAGAATATACTAAATTATATGCACATTAAGACTTACATGTGTTGCTGGGTTTCTTTTGTTGTTGTTGTTTTACTTGTCTTGTGTGTTTGGGGTGATTCAGGACACTGGATGTTCATCAACACATTACAAGGCGTAGAACTTTTTCTGCTTATCCTGTGACACACGACTGTAAAAGATCTTTGCAAAGAGTTTTGAAAATGGATAAATGAAGAAACAAACCTATGATCATGAGAGAAGAACCAGAAGATTTCAATACTCAGCCACGAATCAGCAGAACTGTGCAGAAGCAGGGGAGCTTCTCTCTGGAGGCCCCACTTCATGTCAGTCAGACTTGTAGGAAGGGACTTTATTTCATGTAGTTATATGGGAAAGATTTGGTTTTCAATCCATCTTAATTTAATCAAAAAAGGGCCTTTTAGGAAAAGCCATAACTCAGTTTGTGCTAAAACCAACTAATAGTTGAATCTGAGTAGAAAATAGAAGCCATATAGAATGTGTTACCCTAAATCAAAATTCATTCTTCATCTGAAGCCTGCAGGTTGTAAATCAGGAATTAAACTCATGTCAGTAAATCCAAGCAAATGCACACAAACCTGAGAGTTAGCACATCTGAAACAGAAGCTTGAAAGGCAAACCTGCATAAATCAAATCTCTAAATCAAAGCGGGAAACAATGATTTTTCTTGTCCTACAGAGCAGGAGAAACGAACTCTCTAAACCCCTGTATGCAGATAAAAGTTCTGGTTTTTATATAGCTTGATGTATTTATGTATGGAGGAAGCACAGCCTGAAATTAAGCAAGAAGAATGAAATATTGTAATGACCACTCCAGAGCAGCAGCCCAGCAAGTAATTCCACAGTCAAGTCATTAACAAGCACTTTGAGAAAATATGCCTTTAGCATTCAGCTGTTCTTTGCCAAGAGATGGCAGGGGGTGAAATGTTCTCAGAATCCCTAAAAGGTGTTTGTCAAAGAAGCTGCCCAGTGGTCAAGAAGGGAAAGGGCTCCTGCAGATTTGGCATGAAGCTACTATTCCTGACAGGTTTGACCGTCCACATCTTAAGAGTGATCTAAGTATTTGCTGTGCTCTGTATAGATCCCTACCTAGCTCAGGGACTCTGCAGTCTCAAGGAGGTTCTGGTGCCTTGGAATGTTAATGTCATATTTATAATGTAATTTTCTCTCATTTTAGAAATTTTCTTAAATCTAATTTACTGCCCAGGGTTTCCACAATCCCCTTATTAAGGGAGCCAGATGCTCAGATCACTGTGGTTTATTGATTAAATGTTAAAAAAAAACTATGTGCACAGAGAACTCTGTTTTGGTAAAAGGGCAGTGGAATAAGCCAATAACATTGCATAATTTATTTGCTTTAATTAAATTGACATTAAAGAAAAGTCTTACTATTTTCATGTAATACATGTTTGGAAGCTGGGTCCCCACCAGTGCTTCCCATGTTGCATTTAATTTCTGATTTTGAGCTGATCTATGCACACAAGTGTTTCTAACTTAAAATAAGAAACCATGTGTAACAGAGTATGAGTGAACACATAAACCACAGAGAGCATCTCTGTGGACACAGGTTGCTTATATAACTATGAAAAGGAGAGAGTTGAACATGGGCCTCTTGCTTACCCATCACAGACAAAAATCCTTTGCAGTACATGAAAACCAACTGCAGCTTGTTAATGATTCTTCTTTGTGAAGTGGCTTGTTTTGAAGCAAAGTATTCATCAAGTGCTGCAGGAACCAGCCCCAATTGCTACACTTAACACCCCTCCTAGAGACCTCTAAGTTACCTAGAGTATATGAAGAAAATGTTTGTTTAATTCATTAATTTAGTCAAAAAATATTTAATGAATACCTTCTGGTGACAGCCACTTTTCCAGGAGCTGGAGATATACCATTGGAAAAAAACTGGACAATTTTAACACCAGATCAACTTGATTTCCTGACTGAATCATTTTGGGCTAAATATCTTCTTCCTATGCAGATCAATAAACGTGATTCATCACATAACAGAACTAAAGACAAAATCCACATGATCATCTCAATAGATACAAAAAAGGATTTCGATAAAATTCAATCTCTTCATGTTAAAAACTCTCAACAAACTAGTGTTGAAGGAACAAACCTCAAAATAATAAGAACTATTTATGACAAATCCACAGCCAACACCATACGGAATGGGCAAAAGCTGGAAACATTCCCCTTGAAAATCAGCACAAGACAAGGATGCCATCTCTTACCACTCCTATTCCACATAGTATTGGAAATCCTGGCCAGATCAATCAGGATAGGGAAAGAAATAAAATGCATCCAAATAGGAACAGAGGAAGTCAAACTGTCTCTGTTTGCAGATAACATGATTCTGTATCTAGAAAATACTATAGCCACAGCCCCAAAGCTCCTTAAGCGGAGAAGCAACTTCAGCAAGGTTTCAGGATACAAAATCAACATACAAAAGTCACCACCGTTCCTATATACCAACAACTGCCAAGCTGAGAGCCAAATTAGGAACACAAACCCATTCACAATTGCCACAAAAAGAACAAAATACCTAGGAATACAGCTAACTAGGGAGGTGAAAGATCTTTTTTTTTTTTTTTTTTTTGAGACGGAGTCTCGCTCTGTCGCCCAGGCTGGAGTGCAGTGGCGCGATCTCGGCTCACTGCAAGCTCCGCCTCCCGGGTTCACGCCATTCTCCTGCCTCAGCCTCCCGAGTAGCTGGGACTACAGGCCCCCATTTTTTGTATTTTTAGTAGAGACGGGGTTTCACTGTGTTACCCAGGATGGTCTCGATCTCCTGACCTCGTGATCCGCCCGCCTCGGCCTCCCAAAGTGCTGGGATTACAGGCGTGAGCCACCGCGCCCGGCCGTGAAAGATCTTTACAATGAGAATTATAAACCACTGCTCAAAGAAATCAGAGATGATACAAACACAAATGGAAAAACATTCCATGCTTATAGATGGGACGAATCAATATCGTTAAAATGGCCATACTGCCCAAAGCAACTTATAGATTCGATGCTATTCCTATCAAACTACCAGTGATATTCTTCACAGAATTAGAAAAAAGCTACTTCAAAATTCATATGAAACAAAAAAGAGCCCAAATAACCCAGGCAATCCTAAGCAAAAATAACAAAGCAGGAGGCATTATGCTACCCAATTTCAAACTATACTACAGGGCTACAGTAACCAAAGCAGCATGGTACTGGTACAAAAACAAACACATAAACCAATGGAACAGAATAGAGATCCCAAAAATAAAGCCACACAACTACACCAATCTGATCTTATATGAAACTGACAAAAACAAGCAATGGGGAAAGGACTCCCTATTGAATAAATGGTGCTGGGTTAACTGGCTAGCCATGTGCAGAAGATTGAAACTGGACCTCTTCCTTACACCATATACAACATCAACTCAAGAAGGATTAAAGACTTAAACGTAAAACCAAAAGCTACAAAAACCCTGGAAGACTAGGCAATATCATTCTAGACATAGGACCTAGCAAAGATTTCATGGCAAAGATGCCAAAAGCAATTGCAACAAAAGCAAAAATTGACAAATGGAGATCTAATTAAACTAAAGAGTTTCTGCACAGCAAAAGAAGCTAACAAAAGAGTAAACAGAAAACCTACAGAATGGGAGAAAATTTTCACAAACTATGCATCTGACAAAGGTCTAGTATCCAGTATCTATAAGGAAATTAAACAAATTTACAAGGGAAATAACAACCCCATCAAAAAGTGGGCAAAGGACATGAACAGACACTTCTCAAAAGAAGACATATATGTGGCCAAAAATCATATGAATAAAAGCTCAACATCACTGATGGTTAGAGAAATACAAATCAAAACCACAATGAGATATCATCTCACATCAGTCAGAATGATTATTATGAAAAAGTCAAAAAATAACAAGCTGGAGAGGCTGTGAAGAAAACAGAACACTTACACAATGTTGGTGGAATTGCAAATTAGTTCAACCATTCTGGAAAGCAGTGTTTTGATTCCTTAAAGAGCTAAAAACAGAACTACCATTCAACTCAGCATTCTTATTACTGGGTATATACCCAGATAATATAAAACATTCTACTATAAAGATGCATGCATGCATATGTTCATTGCAGCACTATTCACAATAGCAAAGATATGGGATCAACCTAAATGCCCATCAATGACAGATTGGATAAAGCAAGCATGGTTCATGTACACTATGGAATACGATGCAGTCATAAAAAAGAATGAAATCATGTCTTTGCAGAAACGTGGATGGAACTAGAGGCCGTTATTCTTAGCAAACTAATGCAGGAACAGAAAACCAAATACGGCATGTTGTCATAAGTGGGAGCTAAATGATGAGGACACATGGACACATAGAGGGGAACAACAGACACTGGTGCCTACCAGAAGATGAAGGGTGGGAGGAGAGAAAGGAGAAGAAAAAAAATAACTATTAGATACTAGGCTTAGTGTTTGGGTGACAAAATAATCTGTACATCAAACCTCCATTACACAAGTTTACCTATATAACAAAACCTGCACATGTACCCCTCCCTGAACTAAAAGTTAAAAAAAAATTTTTCTTAATAATGCTCCACCTTGTAGAAGAGTTAAGTAATTCTTATTGTGCCTCTTGGGACATCTTATCCCCAAACTCCAACAGGTCCTTTTATTTGGTGACAGGGGGAAGACTCTTTATAATTCAGAAAAAAATTAAAATGCACAAATTTCATATACTAGGATAATAACTATGGAAAATAACATGCAGACAAGTGCTTGGGAAAAAAATTTTGAAGTAAAAGTGTTAGGATAGGGCAGTGATTTTCAACGTGTAAGCAGCAGCATCCTCATTGCCTTGAGACTCTTTAGAAATACAAATTATCAGGCCCCATCTCAGAAATACTGAGTCCAAAACTGGAGTGGCGGGTGCACACCAGTGCTTTAACAAGTCCCCAGGTGATTCAGATTCACCCTGGAGTTTGAAAGCCGCTGTTGTGAAGAAATGCTGAAAATTCTTTAACTTTTTTAAATTATATACTTATAAGTAGAGTTTTTTAAACAATGCTTGCAGAGTTACAGACATAAAAAAAGACGCCTCTATTATTTAAGGAAGATCTATACAGGCAAAATAGAATTGGTGGCAAAGCCAGTAATCTGAGATGTTTTTGGTTTAGAAAGTTGCTCTTTGTGCATCAGAAATGCCTGACTCAGGGAGTTATTGATCAGCATTGAACTAGGAGTTCAGACACAGGTGTTCCTATATCACGTTCTTGGGGCTGGTAAAACATAGTCTCATCTTAGGCTGATCAAGGCTTAAACTATGAAACCTGGTCCTCTGCCAGCTTGCTGATGGAATTAGAGAGAACCACTGAAAGAATCAATCAGCTAATGAGATTTTATACAACAACTTCCATGTGCTGGGCACCCGGCCTGGTGCGGTTGGCCGGGAGGGGATGGATAGGATACGGTTCCTCTGACCCAGAAGTCACAGACAATTTAAGACTTTCATCTTTGAAAAAAAGCACTCTGCACCCCAGGCTTTGTGCAGCTGGTGCAGGGTAACCCCTCAAAGGACACATCACAGTGGCCTGGGGCAGTCAGAGACAGCTTCCCAGAGAAGGTCTCATAGTTGGGCAAGGGGTTGGTAGGAGTAAACCATTTGAATATGGTGTGAACGTAGAAAAATCCATGGCATGTTTGGGAGATAGAGTTCTGCCTGCACAATTTAGTAGTGGGAGAGAAGGCTGGAATTGTCTAAGCCAGATGGAAGTGAATATTAGATCATAGCCCAAGCACAAGAAAGAATCATTGTAGATTTTTTCACAGGGGCATGGTAAGATGAAGATGGAGGTTTAAGATGTCAAGTTAAAAATAATTGTCTTCATTTTCCTCCTATGCCACACTAGGTTAATCTAGACTTCCTAAAGCAGTCATGAGTCACTAAGGCTGTGAAATGGGTCCATTTGTCAGGAAAGAGGGAAGGTGACAACAGCTAAGAAAACGTGGAACTGCAGGCATCCCAGCCAGAGCCTGGCCCCAGAGTGAAAATGCACACGTGTGCTGCTTGAGGATGAAAAATGCTTTCCTTGGCCCATCCATCATCATCATCAGCCTCGGAGACAGTTCCCCCGTCCAGGAAACATTTCTCTTGAAGGGAGAGGCTGGGCCCTGGGGAGGCTGTGGTGCCCAGCCCTAGCCTCTGGGTGATGGATGGTCCTGGGCTTCCCTAGGATGAGTGTGCAGAATGGCTGGAGGAGCGGAGGGCAGAGAGTCTTTGCTTCTCAGCCAGCAGCAGAGAAATGCAGGCACAGCCTCCAAGTCACAATGAACATGTTTGCCTCATTCCACTGGGAGCTTCTGGAAGGTGGAATCAGCTTCCTAACCTTGTTAACGGTACTGTCTACAAGCCCAGCACACATTTGGCTCTCGGTTAATGTTTGTTGGATGAATGTATGAGTCTAATAGTTGGAACACAGAATGATCCCCCATCTCCACCCCTGTGCTTAAACCGGAAACTTTAAGAGCCAGAAGTGTCCTCAGACATCATCTAGTCCAAACATTTATGCGAAGATGGGGAAACTATCAGAGAATGCATACAGTCCCCAGCAAACTAGTGAAATTGAAAATTAGTATCATATAAGTAATACCTTGTTTTCTATAACACCTGGACTTCTAAAAGACTTTTGTTTTTAAACTGAGGCGCCAATAAGAATTGCCTCTTCCAGATCTCTGTGTAAATTATCACCTTATCAGTGAGGCCTTCTGTGACTGTGCTATTTAAATAACACAGCCCTCCTATACTCCTAACTCCTGCCTCTCAACATGGCATTTCTTAGTTCCCTTCCTGATCTGCCTTCCTCCATTTTTCTCCATAGCACTTATCACTTTCTTATATTCTGAATATTTTATGTGTTCACCTTTCTATTGTCTGCTCCAGACTCCAAGAATGTGAGCTCCATGAGGGCAGAGGTTTTGGCCATTTTTATCACTGTTCTGTCTCACTTATAACATGCCTGGTATATAGCTGGCATTCCATACACATCTACTGAGTGAATGAAGAAAGTAAATTAATTTTCCAGAATGCAAACCATCCCCTGAGAATCATGGTTAATGATGGTTTATTTATTTAATGTGGTGATTGTACCATTACATTGATTCCTAGAGGCTCTGGCTAAAAGCCCTACCCTGCAGGGCGTTCTCATGATAATGAGAGAGTTCTCATGAGACCTGGTAGTTTAAAAGTGTGTAACACCTTCCTCTTCACCCTCTTCCTCCTTCTCCAGCCATGTAGGACATGTCTGCTTCCTCTTCACCTTCTGCCATGATTGTAAGTTTCCTGAGGCCCCCCAGCCATGCTTCCGGTACAGCCTGTGTAACTGTGAGTCAATTAAACCTCTTTTCTTTATAAATTATGCAGTCTCAGGTAGTTCCTTATAGCAATGTGAGAATGGACTAATACAGTCTTGTGTATTCTTCTGAATTATGATTCTAATGAGTGCTGAGTATCGCACTTTAAAAATATATCACATTTATTTAATCATGTCATTGCACGTTGTTAGGTGTATATGTTGATTTCAGGGATTTTTTGCTAATAAAAATAAGAGTGCAATAAATGCCCTTTTATGTACTCTTTGTGTACACCTCTGGTTTATTATTTGGGCTTAAATAATACAAGTGTAGCAAAGGATATGAATGTTATTAAGCTTTCAAAAATTCACAACATCCTCTCCAACTTTCCTTGAAGAAATTATAAAACAAGGTTTTCATGGAGTGCCTTTAATTGCTGGTTCCTGTGTTTAGTGGCTCTTTAAAGTCCTCGCAGGAACCCCTCTTACTACTGTCCCTTCAGGATTTGCAGATGCTCTTTCTCCTGTGCCTGGGTTGGAATGGATGAGAGGATAAGTTAGAATACAGACAGGGAACACAAAGTTTCAAGAAAAAGTTATTAGAAAATCTAAAACTACAGGGATTTAAATAAAAGAGAAGGATGTTTCCTTTTCATGTAAAAACTTGAAAATAAAAAGGAGGCATTGCCATTCTGTAAATGTGGCTTCTAAGATTGCCTTAGCTGCTACAAAATTTTAGATAGTAGAAAGGGCTAGAGAACCCAGGATAGAAATCCTTGAGAAGATGATTTGAAAGTTGTACACATTGTTTCCGCTTTCTTTTCACTGGCCTGAAATTAACTCATGGCTGCATCTGGAAACAAGGAAAAATTATCAAGTCCTATTAATCAGATGTACTGAGTATGGTTATACCTCAAATCTGTCCACTTACCTCTATTTCTAATGCCATTTCTCCCTTCACTCCCTCTTATCTCTTGCTTAGATCAGAATAACTACTTTCTAGTTGGCCCCCTCATTGTCAATCTTATCTTCCTCCAATCCATCCTCCACAAATATAGGCAGAATAATCCTGTTGAAATATAGACCTGGTCACATCTCTTCTGCTTTAAATTTTAAATGGCAGATTGCTGACTTCACAGAAAAGAAATTCAAAATGCCAAACACCTTCTTTTGACATTCAAGGCTTTTCTTTTTGACCCTAACTCTCCAGCCTTATATTGCTCAAATGTCTGGGATGCAGCCAGGGTGCACATGTTTGGTCTTTTAAGGTGGAAGAAATGGAAACTAAAAGCTAAGTCTTAGCCAACTTCCCTGGGACATGAAGCAAGACAACACATGTGTTTTCGATCACTCTGACAAAGTTCAGCATTTGTCCTCTCTTGACATAAATGTGGAATCTACCCATTTTGAGACCTATGGTTGCCCAGGGCTTCCAGAAGCCTAGCTTTTTATTGTTTAGGCCTTTTTGGAATTTTAGAGATTACCTATTAGGAGACATGCCTCCCATCAGAGTTCATTGCTGAGACCAGGATGTAGACCTGACCTGTCCCATGAGGCACTTTCACAGAAAATGGAATAGGGTTTGTGTGTATTGTTGTTTTACATGCAGGGCTCTGGTATTATTTCAAATAAAGAGGATTCTAATGGCATCAACTGGAAAGAGCCTTCATACTGCCAACAAATGATTCTGAGTAAACAACTATTCCTCTTTAGGCCTCAGTTTCCTCATCTGTAAAATGAGGTTACGGGGCTGAGTTGATCTCAGAGGTCCATTCTAGCCCAAAAAGAAGGTCAGTTGGCTCATTCAATACTTATTTCTGAGTCCCCACTATGTGCTCAGAACTGTTCTATGTGTTGAAGATACATAGTTGTAAAAAGATGGACAAAAAACCTAGGTGAGAGTTGGGTGGTCAGATAAATGTAAATACGGGCAAATAACATGAGGCTGCCATGTAGAGAGCTGTTAGAGGATGGTGTGATCAACACAATGGGCTGTCTTTGAGTGACATTTGGCTAAGAGGTAGCCCTGTCAAGGTCCAGGCATGCAGAAAAACCACGAGGAACACTGAGCTTTGTGTGTTTCATGAAATGAAAGAGACTTAGAGTATGAGGTAAGGTTACAAGTAGTCCTAAAGGAGGAAAGAAGTTGGTCCAGGGCCAGATGAAGTAGGATATTTACACCAGGGTACGAGATTGATCCTAAGTGCTATCAAATGTCTCTAAAGAACTTTACGGTTGGGACAGACATCGCTTATTTAAGTTTTGAAAATATCACTCTTGGAATTGTATGGAGTATGGATTATGAGGAAGTGGAAGTAGATGGGGATGCTATTTAAGAGGTTATTACAGTGGTCCAGGAGAGAGATGGAGGGACATGAATTAGAATGGCATCTTTGGATGGAGAAAGTAATGAACAAATATGGAACCTGCTCATGGAATGTTTGCACAGATGAGTAAAAGAATGGTCAAGGATACCAATTAGATATGGAGGAGTCATTTACTGAGATAATAAGGACTGGGTTTAAGAGAATGAATAAAGAGTTCTTTCTTTTTTAACTTGCAAATTTTGAGATACCCATTACACCTCTAAGTACAAAAGTCAAGTAGGCAATTGAGAGATTTCATTGCTGGAGAGATAAGTGTAGAAGCCATCAGCAAAGGGATAGTTTTGCAAACTGTTGACTGGATGAGATTACCTAGAATTTATATGCGACTATAGGCTCTATATAATCACCAAAACTCAAATAGAGAAGAGAACCAGTCAGTTAGCATTGGGTATTCTTTCATTTAAAGATTTGGTGGAGGAGAATAATTCAGCAAAGGTCACTGACAAGGAGCAAGGTATGGGGTGGGGGCAAAATCAGCAAAGAGTGGCTTTACGAAAGTAAGAACAGAAAAAAGAGTTTCAAAAATTTATTTATTCTGAATGCTTCTGAGAGGTCAAGGCAAAAACTAAAGAAGCTGTTGGATTTGACAGCTCAGAGGGCATTGATGATTGAAAACCGCAGCTTCAGTGGTATGGCAAGACAGGATCCCAGTTAGAAGAGATGAAGGACAGAAAGTGAGGTGAGAAGGAATGAGGAGAAAGAAGTTAAGAAAATCGTTCAAGAATGACAGCAGATATGAGGTGTTAGCCCCATGGGGATTTGAAGACAAAAGACAGTTTTTTTTGTTTGTTTTTGAAGATGGAGATATTATAGTGTGATTCTAGGATGATGGAAATGATGCTGTAGAGAAAGAAAAGTTGATGGTGCAGGAAAAAGATTAATTACAGGACTGTCAAGTAGTCAATGGAGATGAGATCCAGTGCACAAGTCAGGGTGTTGCCCTCAGACAGAGACAAGCACACTTCATCCCAGGTGACGGGATGAAGACAGGGAGTATGGGCACTGATATAGGAGGTTGGGTGGTTTGGGTTGTGGGAAGATAAATGAGTTCTGCTGTAATAACTTTCATATTTTAGTAAATCAGGAAACAAGTCATTAGCTGTGGAGAAGTAGATGGGAGAGCAGGGCTACTAGAGGTAGAGAGTCGAGGAGAGCCTATTTCAGAAACTGGGAGATGAAAGGGATTGATCATCTCTTCTCATTGTTTATTTACAAATAAAATCAACAATGTATTCAGGTTCTAAAAACCTGCCTTGTCGTTTTCATATATTACATCT
The DNA here is from genome assembly GCF_000001405.40 of Homo sapiens. Taxonomy (NCBI): domain Eukaryota; kingdom Metazoa; phylum Chordata; class Mammalia; order Primates; family Hominidae; genus Homo; species Homo sapiens. Next base: position 18,401,404 of record NC_000002.12, read on the forward strand.
AATTATCCAGTCACAATCCAAAAAGGAAGATGTTACCTTCACTTCAGCAGGATCAGATAACAGCCAGATCTTGTCTCTTTTCAAGGTCCCTGCTTTTCTGAAGCCTCATTATCAAGTGAGAATGCCCGTGAGAGTTATCAGTTCACTTCAGCAGGCATTTCCAAACACCTATTATGTGCACAGCCTACCTCTATTCCTCCCGTGACTTCCACTTCTCCTATCGCTAATTACTCTTGAAGACTCTAAGCCCCAGAAACAAAGCAGCCACTACAACACAGTTGCTCCTTTCAAATAGTTCAACTTAAATGAACAGGCAGACGTGTGCTATAATCATAATGAGCTCCAGGAATGGTGGACAGAGCCTTCAGGGAGAGTCAGTGGGAGTGGCCAGAGGAAAATACTGCAAAGCTCTAAGTCCTATGGATGCTTGGGCCTCACTAACTTTCTTCTAACTTTGTAGCCCATATGTAGAGGCTCAGCACTAACCTTCCCTGGTCTTCCCCACTGATGTTCTTACCCCACCCTTTAGGGAGAGACTTTCCTGAAAGCTAATTCAATCAACATACTCCCCTGCCAAAGGCCTTCCAATACAATTTCAAACCCAAATTCTTTAACTGATTATGACATTCAAGGCCCTGTATGGGATTTCACCCCTTCCCATCTGTCTCTTCTATTTACTTTATCTTCACACCTTTTCTCTCATCTATTGCCCCCACCATCACCCCTTCCCACATACTAAAACCTCCAACCAGGACTACTTGTAATTTTTGCATCCCACCAATTTTCTCTAGCTTTGGGTCATTTCCTTATATTGATCCTCTACCTGGAAGACTCTTTCCTTCCAATTTCCACATAGCTACATTTTCTTTGTTCTTCAGGACACAGTTCAGGTGCCACATTTTCCTGGGAAGTCTTTTCTTGCTGATACCACCCCTTTCCCCCTCTCCTTTCTCTTTTCTCCACCACTGAGAAAAGGACTAATTCTTTTCTCCATCTAAATCTTAACCCACTATATTCAAATTATTTGTATGTCCATCTCTTCCACTGTATTCACAATTGCTTGATGCCAGTTATGTATTGTATCAGTTACCTGGTGTGGTACCCAGCATGTAGTAGGAGCTCAGTATATGCGTGAAGAATAAAGAATAAGTGAACAAATAAATAAATTAATTAATGATTATAGTTCTTCCAAAATAGCTCTGTATTCAGAGCCTCCATGTCTTTGAATATGCTAGTCCATCTAATAAATTCCTCTTTTCCCTTCTCCACCTTTTTCCAAGTTCACCTGGCAAACTCCTGTACTTCTTGAGACCTGAAAAATTTGTGTTACACCAAAACAAAGCCTGCTCAAAAAAAAAAAATACAGGTCTCTTAAAAAAATATTGCCTTATTATAAACTAATTATCCCTGGATCGTTTGGTTTGGGATCCTTGGAGAAACCTGGCTTTGTTAAAAGTGGTTTTGGACACTGAGTTTCAGTCCTTTTGGGCTACTGTTGCAGAAGTTTAGATGTGCATTCCAGAAGGTCAAGGATCTTTTAAGTGTCAGTACATACTTCCCTCCCCCAAACCAATCGCTCCCTTGAGAATATTCTATTTTACAAAGCATTTTTTTTAAAGCAAACCTACACTTCTGGACCAATTCATCTGCAATTTGCTATACTTCATAGGGCTCAAAGCCCCCACATGCCTAAACTACTAGGAAAGATTTCTGGACACGTCAATAAAAGTATCCTAATGAACAACAGCTGCAGAGAACATGTCTTTAAATAAATTGATTCCAAATTTTCCTGAATGTTTCTGTGATTTTGCTTCTTAAATGGGCATCACTGACTTTAAACTTGGCTATCTAAAAAAGCTGAAGGAAAATAATTATCCATTGTTGCAAAAAAAAATTTTCATTGTCTTGCATTTCTTCACCATTCTTTGAGGAAACCAATGTACATTCACACCAATTACTTCACCTCTGCTTGTAATGGCTCTTTGGAGCAAACTTAATATATCTTTCCTATTTTGCATTTGTGGAATTGCATGGGGTACAGAAAGTTACAGACTCATCCAGATTTGGGATTGGGATTAGAACTCAGGCCTCCTAATTTTGAGGATTACATTTAGAGTGTGGGCTCTCTTCTCTTTGAAAACAAAACCAAAAGTCTCTTTCACCAGCAGAGAACATTTATAAAGAGAATGTCTGTGTTATACCATGTTTAGTCTCCATCAACTTTGTGTTTAAGATATATTAATAGTATTTGGTTCAAAGTTTGTGTTCAATTACAAAATGAAATGAGATCTGAATTTTTTTCTCTAAGAAGTACAAAGTCACCAATTTATTCTAATATGTCAAAATTTTATATAAATCAAATTGAAACTTTCAGTGATATGTAAAGTTTATAAGGAATAAACTTGTTTTACTAGTCATCAGAAAATAAGGAAGTAGCACTTGGAAGAGGATTGTGAGAGATGCTCCCATATCGGGTTTTAATAACCTCACAGATGGTCATTTTTTTTTTTTTTTTTTACTTACACAGGAGGCTAGAAATCAAAATTTGGCTCTACAGGCCCATGATATTCCCTCTCTGATCTACTTCTCTGGACATCTGGGTTTCCTGTGGATTGCGTTCAATCAGCAATGTTGAGGTAATAAATATTTCACCTTCCAGTTCCCCTTTTTTATTCTTAGTATATAAAAGGAGAGAGAGCATGGTAGATTCCTGTCTCCAAAATCTTCCTCCTGTCACCTCGCACATATTGTCCTTGCTGTTAGAAGCAGCAGCTTGTGACATTGTTTTGCTAGTACAAATTCATGGTAGTGGGAGGTAGGATGGAGGGAGGGAAGGGTTGAATTAGGACCCAGAAATTGTTGAACAGAACAAAATGAAAAGCTGTTCTCAATTTGAAGAGTGAGTTGACGTCTGCTACTCTGGTATGCAGTAAAACATGTTTCCCATCTAAGACATCATAAAAGCTGCAAGCATTTCACACTGCACATTAAGAACAGCATCTTTAAGGGAACATCTTTTCATATAGAGCACGTACAGAGTTCTCTATCTGATGATCCTTTTGAACATTTTATCATTACAGTAGAAGAAATACACCACAATCATGGCAAGCCCCAAATGAACTGACAAAGCACCTTTGTAGAAATGACTGTTAGGGGTATATCGATATTTCATTTTTCAGCTGTTTCCATAAATATAGCATTTCTGTACAAACTGTATGCAGAACTGGGCTGCATCATTGGGAAAGCGTTAATAGAGTAGTTGGCTTCCATGATATGCAGAGGACCTAAAGAAACCTCTTTAAAGTGGATGAAGAGGTTGAGGTGATAGTGGGAGGGAAGTGGGAGTGGAAAGCTTGTTCTTAATGTCTGTAAATTAAGACAAATGCTTGTTCATGAGCATGAAGTCGAATGGTAAAGGGGTTGGGGAAAACATACGGTCATAGAGCTGCCAGTTCCCTGAACGGGCCATTTACATTGCATCCTATGTAAATGGCACCCCCTAGAGGTGTACAAATGTAGTGTCCCTGTTGAGAAGAATGCAAACAATTTTAAACATCCATTGAGTGGAATAAGAAAGATGAATGTCGAGGAAGACATCTTTTTCCTGCTTCTGCCACTATTTGTTTTTAAAGTTCCTACTTAGTTTCTTTCTCTGACAATTCTTTCTTTACCTGTTCCTTAAGTATTCGTGTTCTCTTGAGTCCCTTACCAGACTCACTTTTCTTTGGTCCTTCATACTCGTTCTGTGCAATCTCATCCACCTGTAGAGTTTTAACTGCTAACTATATATTGATGACTTCAAACCTTTATTTCAGGCTTGCCACTCCAAAGAAGTTCAGCTCTACAATTATCAAGACTATCTAGGTCTATTTGGATATTCCTTGGGTCCTATCCTCAGTATTTCCTAAATTAAACTAATGGTCAATCCCATTAGCCCTGCTTTTTACGTGTACTTCATCATCACTTTAGTTTAGTCTGGAGACCCAGACTACAAACTTGGGGGTTTTCCTAAGCTGTTTTCTGCCCTGTACTCTGACTATCTGATCAGTTATTAGGCCTAGGAAATTCTTCATGTTTATGCTTTCTTCTCCACCCTCCCGCACACTGCCTTAGTTAAGGCCTGCATTGGGTTTTGCCTAGCTTGTATAACTGCCTGGAATTCTCCAATCCTCTTATGACTTATACATAGCAGCATCTATGCTTAATGGCTGGCACATCACTGGAATTCAATTATTGTTATGAACCAGTGACTAAATTAATGCTGTATGCATTGACTGTTGTGCCCTTGATGATTTCATAACCCAGAATATTCACCAATAATTAGATAATATTCATTCAACATTTGTTTTTTGAGCACCTGAGTAAATACAATCCCTCTCGGCACCCCCGTGTTATATGCTTCCTTGTAGAAGATGTAGAACATTTCATACAGTGACCAGTCCTGCACACATTTAAATATACAATCCACGTTAAGAATTCAAAATGGAAAAAAATAGAATAATGACTAATATAAGCAATAATTTGAATGACAAATTAAATTTTGGGTAAAATAAAACCAAGGCAGTCCAGAGACAAGAGTTTCTTGTAGTTTAATGTATTCAAGGAAGGTTCTGTGGAGGAGGCAGGATGTAAAGGAAAGATGGGCCTTGGTGAAGAGCGGTAGAAACTCTTTTCTACCGCTCTTGTTTTGAGGAGATTGGCTTCAGCCAGAGTATGAAGACAGAGGGTTTATTGCTGGCACCATTACTAAAATGGGGCAGTGGAAATATGTATGTTGCGTGTTGGAATAGAAAGATTAAGGAAAGAAGAGGCAAGAAGGCAGATCTATAGTTGAGACAGGTTTATTGACAGTAAATCTGAGAAGGGCTTCTGGCTGGCAGGGTCAGGAGCAAACTTTTCTTACAGCCTGAGGCTTTTTTAAAGGGCCAGGTGGAGAAGTGTGCTTTGAAGCAAGATTCTGTTAGGGAGGGGTTGGGAAAGTGCTGGCTGTTCTGTTACAGTTAGGGCCCTTATGTTCTGTTGAAGCTATGGTCAGCGTTGACATTTGCAGTTTGGCCAAGTGTCAACAGACAGTTCTGAGAAATGGAAACTTGATACTTTAAGATGGTGCAGTCTCGTTAAGATGGTGATATTCTTGTTCTATCATTGAGAATATTATAAAAATAATGATGATGCTGTTGTGTTTGGGAAGTGCACTATGGTAAAGCTAAAGGGCTCTGGTATTGGATTAATTTGGCTTCTAATCCAAGCCCAGTACTTATTAACTGTGTGACTGAAAAACCTCCCTAAACTCTCTGAATTTTCATTTTCTTATCTGTTTTTACAATTGATCATAAATGGCATTTAAAACTGCCTATTAGTTTGCACTCTTCAAGTTAATAAAGTGATTTTATGCACAAGGATGCATATGTAAAGGGTGTTCATTAAAACTTCACTAATTAAAGTTGTGCCAACAATAATGTTTTCAACACACTAACAGATTTGGTTATTTAAAGAAAACCTGAGTATGCTATAAAGCTAAGAATCTGTTTTAAAATTAAATAATTTGATCAGAATTTTGGTGTTTTTTTAAATTTAAATGTTTTGTTGTTTCTCTAAATTACCTATTAAGGAAAAACTCTCTGCATATTAAAGTATACTTCCACCTACACTATACTTTACATGGAAATATATAACTTATTTTTCTCACAATTGCTTGGTCAAAGGAAATTTTGCATCTCTTTTCTTTGGAATTCATTTTTTAATTGAGATTTTTTAGCTTTAGAGAATGTAAGAGTGGTATGGTATAAAGAGAATGGGCCTTAGATCTAACAAAATTGCATTGAAATCCCTGCTCAATACTTTTAAGTTCTGCGACCATGGGATGTATTATTTTTTTTCTCATCTCAGTCTTTCATTTATAAGATAGCAATAATACTATCATTTGCATAAGACAGTTATGAGAAATGATTGAGGCTGCACATGGGATGGTGCCTGCTGCAGGCGCTCCTTTAAGTGCTCATCCTCTCCTCTTCTAAACACTTGTGGACTCTGTGGACACCCAGACGCAGAGAAGAACCTCAGTGCGGCTCATCCCAAAAACAGTCTGGATGTTCACTTAACATTCACACACCCCTTCTGGAGAACCCAGTGACAGCCTGTGCGAATGATGTGATGTTGGTGGAAAAGAGAGTAGATCCCTTTAATATGCTATGTTTGTAGGTTTGTTTATTTTCTTAAATACAAGGCAAATCACAAACTTTACTGGATGACAAGCGATTTTTATTGAACGACTATACAACAAAAATTATACAGTTTTCTCTTTAGGATTGTCTTTGGCTCCCCAAAAAATAAAGTACACCAATGCAGGTCATTTCCAACATAAAAGTGCAAATAGATAAGAGTGTTCTGTTTAACATAACAATACCAGCATTTGAACATTTTGAAAACCATATTTTATAAAAAAATAAATTAATTCAAACAGATCATTTCCTATGTTAAACCCATGAAAAGATAAATTTGTAAGGAGATCTACTACCTGACCAGGGCCTGTGCACCAACAGAGAGGATATAATGCCTTATGGATGAAGCTTATTTATCCTTGATGAATTTTTAATTCCAGAAGGAAGGGTAAACAAAAGAAGAAATTCTAAAGGCTAATCCAGAAGGACAGCAAAGTATAGGCTAATTGTTTCCTTGTTGTCTCAAGACTTTAGAGTGTTCATTTATTTGATTTGCCTTGTTAGGTAATTTTTGGCATATTTTCAGGAGAAATATACATGAAATATATATATGAGAAAACTACCTTCCATGTGTTCCGTGGCGCCAGAATATATTGGTCAGAATTTGAATTCTTTCTTTCACTTTCTTTTATGCTATTAGTACTTATATGGAAAAACAAGCAAACAAACATAAAACAACAGCAACAGGCCGAAGTAGGAATTCAGGTTACAAGACAAAGACTTCAATTTATGGTCAGTAAGTACAAAAATCCCTATATTCCATCAGTTATTACTGGCTTAAGATTTATTTTAAAGTTTAACTTACATAACAACTCTGCAACAAGCATTGCTATTTATTGAGTGCAATATTAGTCACGAAATGATTACTTTGAGTATGGTGTCCTGGAGCTGGTGCTCACTAGCTCATGAGGACTAATTATGCACATCTTTTTGCAACTCCACATTCAGTAATGTCACATTGGTAACTTGAAATTGGCCATGGTGGGAGTATTTACACCATGGAAATTGGCAAACACTACAAATCAGGAATCATTTTTCAGAGTGCTGATTCTTAAACATTTTCCAGAATGTCATTGATTATTGCTCTAAGAAAGAAGCCCAAAACCTAAGTAGCTTAATACAGTAGAGTTCTATGTACTCACTCAAATGATTTTCAATGTGGGGATTTGGCAGGCAGCCTTCATGCAGTGCTTCGGAGCCCAGCATCTTTCCATCTGTGTGTCTACCAATCCCAGGGCCTTGGCGTCCTCTGCTGGATGTCTACATCCAGCTAGCAGATGGAGGAAGAGAATGGAAAATAACACAAGAGGTTTTCACAAGTCAGTCCTGGATGTGCTATATGTTACTTCTGTCCATTTTGAATTTTCAGTCCTTGGCCACACATAAAGGAAGTTTGGAATGGTAGTTTAGATTTATATTCCAGAGGAGAAAAATAGTTTGTAAAATAACTAGCTGGCCTGTATCATGAGTACTTTACAGTGGTCTAGGCACAGTTGCAAATATCTGTGAATGTAAATAGTTTATAAATCTTTGTCCACAAAACCCTTTAAGGTAGTTACTATTATTATTCATATATTATAAACAAATGAGCCTCAGAGTGATTAAGTAACCCTTTTGGCTAGATACCTGCTAAGTGGCAGAGATAGGACACATCTCTATGAGTTGATACACTGAACCTAGAGCTTCAATAGTAACAAGATTTACTGGAACCAGCCATTTTGAAAGCTGCTCATATTGACCTTACAGGATAATTCCTGCCAAAGGCAGATCTGAGGATTATGCTTAACCTTCCTGCCAATAATAAACTGCCAAACTAGAAACCTCAACTTATTTGTTGTATAGGGTAAGAAAGAAAGAAGGAGGCAAATATGGCCAAAGGTTTGAACTGTCCCATTGTTACTGGAAAGGCAGTGGGCTTCTCAGAACATCTTTTATTTACTATAGGTTTTAATCTCACTGTTCCTGGATCCAAGATAAGATTATAAGCTTGGCTCTTACCAGGCATGAGACCCACAGCCTAACGAGAGCCTGAGAGCTGGTTTAAAGATGGAGAGCATGTATTGGAGATGAGAGGAGAGAATAGGGATATATTAGAATACAAACTTCATTGACATGACAATTTCTTATGATGTCTATTTCTGAAATGCTTATCCTAGTAGAGTTAACGCAGTTTTCTCATAACATCCATCCACTGAGTCCTTTATGTGCTTCAGACCTCTAGAATTAGAGCTACACTCTGTAGAAACTGATTGTGTAAAAAAGGAAAAAATGGTTAGCAGTAATGCATGAGAAAAGGATCATGAGCTTCAGAGGTCTGTAGATCTGGGCCTGAATACTACTGCAACTTATATCACCACCACCACTAATACTATACTTCCTTGTGTTTACTGAGCTCATATAATGTGCAATGCATAGTTTTGAGAACTTTGGACCATTATCTAATTTAATCCTTGCAACAACTGTATGAGGTCAATATTACCCTTATCTCTACTATACAAACAAGGAAACTGAGGCATCAAAGGCTTAATTAACTTTCCAAAATTTACATAGTTTATAAGTGGATAATTAAATTCACATAAAACATTAAGCATATAGTTAATAGCTGATTAATCTGAACCATGTTAATGAACCTCTATTAAATGGGGTTGAAATACCTACATTCTTTAAAGATAAAACAAGACAGAGAAGTACCTTTGAGAGTGCCTGACACATAATAGGCGCATGATACATGTACACTGTTTCTCACTTGATTGAAATAAATCCAGACAGAAAAAAGTTTTTTTGTTTTGTTTTGTTTTTACAGTGGCAGACATTGAACACATTATTCCTGATAGAGGTTCGAGCATTTTTGTAAAAGGAGGAAAGGAGAAGCCTAGGAACATAAGAATAACTCAGTGGCACATGGGGAAGAGGGCAGTCACAGAGCATCAACTACTGAGGCTTCACCCAGGATATAGAAAGGGTCTCACACCCATGGTGACAGTGACCTGGCTCTCAGCATAACATTAGAAGGTGCTTCGTCTCTGAGGTTCTTTGTCAGTTATCAATTTATTACCTGTCAGCTTCAGATTTACCCTTTGTTATCTGCTTTGCAAAAATATAAGTAAGCCTTTTAAATAATTACTCCCCCTGCTGTCTGGCATGATGTTAAGTTTTTGTCAGTAGGAGACATGGAAAAGTCCTTCTAGGAGGAAGCAATAGTCTTTTCTAGTTCTAGTGTGCTCTCTCAGCAGACTCCTGCAGCATGCCTAGGTCATGCAGGACACACAGCTTCCTTAGTGCCTGGCTTCTGCAGTGCATGTATTCTCCAGCAACAGGCTCCTGAGTATGCACAGTTTCCCCAGCACCAGGCTCCTGCAGTGCACAGCGTCCCCAGCACCAGGCTCCTTGAGTATGACAACTTCCCCAGCACTTGCACAGCTATCCTCAGTACTCAGCAGCAAGTGATTTTGTAGCACAGTGTCTCAGGCAAACCACCTTTGCCCAGCACCCTAGAGGATAGATGAGTATGCGTGGCAGAACTTCTCTGCCATCCATAACCATGCCCTCCACCAAGGTCTGGATCTCAGCCCTGGGGCAATGAGTGAGAGGCTCTTGGTAGGGTTCTCTCTTTCAGCCCTGAGGATAGTGGTTGCTCCTTAGCTCTTCTACACCTGTGTTCTGTAGCACACTCTTTACCTCTTATTAGCCAATCCCTTACTACTTTAACGCTCTGTTATAGCTAGTAATTTTTATATTAAACTTCCTCTGTTCAAATTTCCACATAGTTCCTGTCTTGTGATTGGACCCTGACTAATGCAGGTACTCACTGTTGTCCTTACCCAGGTGGTGGCTAAAGGGGCTCAGGACTTATTCCTAGGCCAGTAGCAAAGACTTTAGGCTCAAAGCAAAGCCACAAAGCAAGTTAATCCATGATATCACTGGAAGCTTCTATAACTTCCTGAGTTCAAACACTGACATTTTATCTTCCCCAGGAGAAGGGGTGAATTTAGTTCTATTTCTCAGGGTGATTGGAATGTTCTTTGTCTAGTGTATGTTTCAATACTAACTTAGATTCATCTATTTCTTTATTAGAAGAAAGGTCCTGAGAAAGCTAGCTTTGTAGATGAGGAAACTTTCTAAACAAAATTTCTGTGGTCGAATGGTATTAAAGTGTCCTCTATGGGCTCTATAATTCCAGCTGGCCATGTCTTTTGGCCAGTGAGAAAATCTGGCTTTGTATTTCAGTAAAATGTTGAAATTAAGTTGCTTTTAACTAAGCTTGAAGTTGGAAAATATGATCATACTGAGTAAGTAAATCACTCTAAATAATGGTCTGAATACCTTCTAGTTTTTCATTTCTATGGCACTGAGATAATCCATATAGGATTTCTTGGCTTTTGCAGTAGTGAATATGCCAATGTACTCTGATTAAATCACTGGAAAATGTAGAGAAAATTTCTCCTTTTGGAAATAATTGTATTAGGTCAGATTCTCATCATAAGAAATTTCTTGGTAAGAAATTTAGAAAAGCAAAACAGAAAAATCAAAAAGTTTTTTTGCTCTGTCTTTAAACTCTAAGTACATCATTCTATGTAATCTTAAGGAATGGTTGCGTAGAAAATGTGAGAAAATATTTTTCAGATAGAAACTTGATAGGGCTAAATAGAATAAGAACTTAGTGTATTGTTTATAAACATGCACATTAATGTAAAATATTGTCATTGTTGGAGGAATATTTATGGTAACTCAATTAGAGAAATTACCATTCGCTTATAATCTTTCTCTTTAAATTGAAATATTGGAGTGTAATTTAAACTTTGGAAACTTTAAATTCTAGCTGTTCTGTCATTACATACAGAACAGCTTTCCCCCAAAATATTTTCAATTGGAACATTTTTAAATTTCATCATATAGTAATATCTAGGCTTTTCCCTATGCCCATTTCATTCTCTCAGTGAAAGATTGTCTGCTTTAGGAGTAAAAATAGCTCTTTCAGGTCTCATTACTACTAATAACAATTTTTTAAAATAATGTTAAACACAATGCTACATCTCAATGTAATGTTACTTAGTGCAAGGGCAACGCCTTGCAAACCTCAGAAGAGCCTAGAAAATAGCAGAATCTAAAATTTTAAGTTATTAAGAAAATACTAGATTATAATGAATGAGATTATTCTAATGAAGGGACAAAATATATAAAGCAATTTTAGAAAGATTTATATTTGAAATAATGATTTTTTAAAAGTTTGAACCCTATAACACAACTCATTCCCTAATGGCTTTCTGATACCTGAGATTTTTCCAATTAGCTTAAAACATGACATTTTTAACTATCAGTATAAGTCAATATAGTTACTGTTTGTTACGTATTTGCTTTAAAATAAGTTCTTTATACATATTATCTCACTAAATATAATTTCTAGTTTCTTGTTTGGAAGTTGAAGCAGAGAGGTTAAAAAATTTCCCCAAAACACATAGTTGGTAAGTGATAGAAATGGAATTTGACATAGAAATATATGAAAATATGCATATTTTCACTATCCTACATTGCTTTTTCCTGATTCTAGGGTTAATATGAGTCATCATGGAACATAGTGAGTAATTTGGTACTATAAAGGAATTTGCTTGTTTTTTTTTAAAAAAAAGGTATTTACATTTCAAAGCAACCAAATTAGAATAGAAAGAATTTTTAAGCTTCTTTTTTAAAGGAGAATTTTCAGTTCATTATTTAAGAAACTTAATGTATGTTTTCATTTTAAGTCAAAAAATATTCCGATTTAAAGATGTATCGCCTTGTCTAATGTAGTTATGAGCCCTTCTCAAAACAGTCAGTCTGGAAGCCTGAAGAAATCGTAATGCAACTTCCAAAAGTCTCTAACCCTACTAGGGAGTAGCTTTGGCAGTAGGAGAATTTGGCTCTGCAGATTTCAGCCAAGACCCAGCCCAAGAAGTCAATTAGCTAGGAAAGATTAAACATCTGAAAATGTAAATTATTAGTTCAGTTGCAACTCTATGTGTTACATGTGTAGAAATGCAAAAACACATTTGTTCAAAGGATTTATCATTAACTGCCACATTGGACAGTACGAATACTTAGATATGCTTGCATAAACACATGAGTCACCTTTCATAAAATACAATTTTCCATGTAAGCAAACTATTGATGAATGTGGAGTCTAAGACATTTTCTCTTTGGCTGTTGTAAAATTTTCTATGAACGATAAGAAAGAACATCTTTGAATGCAGTAAGTTCAAGAGGATAGCTTGTCACTGAGGGGAAGGGAAGCCAAGGGATCCCAACATCTCTCACTCCCATGTTCTAATGCAAGCATGCTTGCCAGGAAGCTTTCACTGTCTGAGATGAGTCATGGGTCCTGTGAGTTTCCTCCAGTTTAGGAAAAGAGAGACACACAGCTTCCTCCTGATGTCTTCTGAAGTTGACACTGTTTAAATGTGGCTTATCATAGAATTTTGAGGTCTTTCTTTTTCTTTCTTTCTTTCTTTCTTTCTTTTTTTTCTAAGTTAGAACAGAGAAAGAAATGCAAAGGGGCATTGAGGGTATGTCCACTCTGTGGATCCTATTCCAGGTGACTCATGTTTCTGTATCTCTTTCAAAATAAGTGCTTAGCCATATTAGTGGAATTAAGAAAGATGAGAAAATTCTGTTGTTTTTCAAACTCTTTTTTTATTTTGAGGTCTAGTTCTGGAAATAATGACTGTCCAGCAAATACCACCCAAACACTGATATCAATTGCAGCTTTAACAAAAAGCAACTTCCAGTCCCACCCTAACTGCAGCCCCCTGAAAGTAATTATTTAATAGCTCTTCTTCTCCCCTCAAAATTTCCCTGCACTCTCTTTGTTGCCTCTCTAGTTAGGATATATTTGTGTTTGATCATACTAGGTGGTAATCATTTTTCAATTTGTCTGTCCCTCTCCTCTGAGCTATGAGACTCCTAAAGATGTAGGCTATTTTATAAATATTTTTAAAAGGCTAATCCTTAGTACTACTGGAACTGCCATAGAGACAGTACTTCACATTGGAGCAACATTAAAAATTTGAATTTATTAACAAGACATTTATTAATAAAGATAGGATAATTTATTATATTAGTTTGATTCTAGACTTCTAGTGTTAAATTCTAAATTTTGTTAGCATAGAAAATTTCTTATAAACATTATCTTTGGGTTAAGTGCTATTTACCTTTTAGAATACTATCATTTTTCTATTCTAATAAAATATGACGTTATAAATGCTATGGCAACATACAATAAGATTTTTTAAATAGAGAAAATACACATAATTCAACATCTTAATAGCATTTCTACCACTATTCTTATGGGGTATTTTCCTGCAATTTTTGTAAAACTATTTATATTGAATTGCTACAGACACAAACAATTGTAACCGTAGTTAAACTAATGGTGAGAAAATTGCTTAGCAGTAGTTTATAACATTGCAAAAAACATTCTGTACCACATGGAAAGCAACAGTGAAATGTCCAACTTAACTTGTGTGTGTGGACACATGATACATATTATTTAGATCTTAGATTATTTTAACTATTAAATTTTTTAATTATAAAAGAAATTCATTATTAAAAATGTGAAATGTGAAAAACTAGTTTAAAAGAAACAAAAACAAAACCCAAATAGAAATGAATAAGCATATAGACATAGAGAAAATTACTATTATTATTGAATATATTTTCTTCCATACTTTGTTTTACATGTTAAATTAAAATTAGTGTTATAGGGTATGTAAAACTCCATCCTGGGCCAGGCGCAGTGGCTCACACCTGTAATCCCAGCACTTTGGGAGGCCCAGGCGGGTGGATCACGAGGTCAGGAGTTTGAGACCAGCCTGGCCCAACATGGTGAAACCCCGTCTCTACTAAAGACACAAAAAATTAGTTGGGCGTGGTGACATGCACCTGTAATCCCAGCAACTCGGGATGCTGAAGCAGGAGAATCTGGCAGGCAGAGGTTGCAGTTAGCCAGGATCACGCCATTGCACTCCAGCCTGGGTGACAGGGCGACACTCTGTCTGAAAAAAAAAAAAAAAATACAAAAACCTCCATGCTGGATATTTTGTCAGTTAGCGTTAAATACTGAATGTTTTACCATGTCCTTAAAGGGTCTTAGAAAAAGCTATAATTTCATACTGTGTTATTATTTAGAGATAGCATTGGTAGTTTAACCACCTCCTTAGTTTAAACTTTTTGGTCATATCTGCCGTTTATTATATATAAATAGCTTTAAAATGTATATTTCATTTGACATAATATTTATATGAATTTATGACTATTTCCATTAATTAGATGCTCAGGAACACTGTTAATGTTCTTACTACATATCATAAATTGAACTTCAGGGAAGTGGATAAAAGTCTTTATTTCCACCAGCAGAGACAGCACCTCTACCAACATTAAATATTATAATATATGAGTTATTAAAACATTTTTTAAGCTTAAAGGTAGGAAAATATACAATACTTTCTTGTAATTAGAAGAAAACCTTCATAACTATGGTTATAGACTTTTGGTTCCCATGTTGTTTATTTGTATTTTTTCTATTTTTTCTTAAAAATTAGTTTAGTTAAAATGCAAAATATAGCATCAAACAAAATTTATGCACACTAGAAAATGTATACATAAAAAGAAAATATCTCCCTTTTATCATTTCCTCATCACTATTTCTTCATCCCCATAGTAATCACTGTTAACAGTTTCTTAAATATCCTTCAGAAAAAAAAAGAACATATCTGCATATATATGGAGATCCCTTTTCAAAACTTATACAAGTATGTTCTTATGATACAAACTTCTCTGTACTTTGCTCAGTTCATGTAATATCTTGGGCATCTTATATCATTATGTAAGTCTTCCCCACTGTTTTTGATAACCACTAGGAATGTTATAGCTTTCGAAAATGTATTAGCTTTATAGACAAAGTAGTATTTCATTGCTTAAAATTTATATTACTTATAATACTTGTATCACTTTTTTTAGTATTTTTTAGATATTTATTTCTCCTTTGTATTTTATTACTTCATGATGTTTATTCATTATACCTGGTGTAAATGACTTTAAAAGCCATTTTAGACAAATTATTATATTTCAGAGATTCTGGAAGGATGCCTTGCCTCTATTCTAATCCCAAATCCAGCCCAATCTTTTCTTCTTTACTAAATAGATCTTCAATTGGTAACCAGGAAGATAAACAGCTCTAGCAATGTTTCTGTGTGGCCCACAGGTTAAAGCACTCCGATAACATCTATGAGCACTTCTTTTGGAGTTAAAACTCAATGTACACATCCACCTGTATCCTAGTGAATGAAAATAAACAAATACACAGATGCCTTATATTCAACATGGAACAAGACAAACCAAAGCTACCAATGAAACTATTAAAATTTTCAAATACAAAAATGAAATAACTATGTATAAAATATTAACAAGTGATGGAGTCATAAAAAATGGTAGCTATCAAAAAACTGACAAAATATTAGATATATCTGGAAATGAGCTAATTAGAATTTGAAAATATACTTAGGAATATACATTACATGATATATATGGCTATATATGTAATATAATAAATATATGCAATGAATATCTACCTCTACCTATTTATCTATGATTAAAGTTAAAAACTTGGTGAGTTAATCAAAGTAAAGATGAGAAATAAAGAAATAATTAGTGAAATGAAGACAATCTGATAATATTAATCTGATGTAGTTAGATTAGGAATTGAAAAATATAAAAATATTTTAGATATTTAAAAAAATCTAAAATATACCCACTGTGAGTCCCAGAAAGACAGACTAGAGATATCAAAAATAGCCAATATTTGAATGTTTAAAAGCCAAGAATTATCCATAAGTGATTAAGTATATGAGTCCATAGATGTAGGAAATATTATATGGCAAGCAACATAAATTTTAAAATTTACATAAGACACATTTTGGTAAAACTTCAAAACCTAAAAGACAAGGAGAACATCTTGAAACCAGTGAGAAAGATAAAAAAAATCAATTACAACTCTCAGCAATGAAAACATCATACTCAATGCTGAAAGATTGAAAGCTGTACTCTAAGATCAGAAACAAGGCACATAGGCCCACTTTCGCTACCTCTGTTCAACATAGCACTGGAAGTCCTAGCCAGAGCAATTAGGCCATAAAAAGAAATAAAATATATCTAGCTTGGCAAGAAGGCAATAAAATTATTTTCCTTTACAGATAATATAAACTTGTATGTGAAAAATCCTAGAGATCACACACACACCCATATACATACACATGCATACACAATAATGTTAAGACTAACAAGTGAATTCGGCAATGTGCAGTATACAAAGCTAACAGACAAAAGTTAATTTCTTTCTATACAATAATACTGAAAAATCCAAAAAGAAAATGAAGAAAGCAATTCCATTTACAAAAGCATCAAAAAGTATAAAATACTTAGTAATTAAATTAACCAAGGAAGTGAGTAACTTTTACAATGAAGACGACAAAACATTTTGGAAAGAAATTAGAGTAAACATAAGTAAATGGAAAGAAAGCCGATGGTCATGGATTGAAAGACATAATTAGTATTGGCAAGATGTCAATACTACCCAAAGTAATCTACAGGTTTAGTGCAATTTCTATCAAAATTCCAATGATTTTTTTTTTCGGAAATAGAATAACCCATTTTAAATGGGATGAAACAGTATCTCACTATAGTTTTGATTTGCAGTTCTCTGACGATTACTGATGTTAAGCATTTTTTCATGTACCTTATGGTCTTTGTATGTCTTCTTTTAAGAAATATTTGTTCAGATTGTTTGCCCATTTTCAAATTAGATTATTTTTTCCTATCAAGTTGTTTAGCTTCCTTATATATCCTGGTTATTAATCCCTTGTCAGAAGGGTAGTTTGCAAATCTTTTCTCCCATTCTGTGGGTTGTCTCTTCATTTTGTTGATTGTTCCCTTTGCTGTGCAGAAGCTTTTTAGCTTGATGTGATCCCATTTGTCCATATGTGCTTTGGTTGCTGTGAAGTCTTAGTAAAAGAAATTGTTGCCCATACAAATGTCCTAGAGAGTTTTGCCAATGTTTTCTCCTAGTGGTTTTATATCTAGTTTTATAGTTTCTGGTTTTAAATTTAAGTCTTTAGTCCATTTTGATTTTATTTGTTTGTATACAGTGAGAGATGGGGTCTAGTTGTATTCTGCGTATGAGTATCCAGTTTCTC